>NC_000021.9:7377865-7500890 GCF_000001405.40 Homo sapiens
GATCTGTTATATATTAAAAAAAAAAAGCTCTCTCTCCCTCACATCTTTGTGTATGTTATTATCCAGCAACTAGACCTTCAACATATACCAGTATAATGTTGTTTTGGCTTCCCAGCCTCCAGAATCATGAGTCAAATAAAATTCTATTCTTTATTAATTACCAGTGTGTGATATTCTGTTATAGCAGCCAAAAGAGACTAAAGCAGACAGAGTGGATAAATTAATCTTTTAAACCTCATAATATGCTGCTTACAAGAGACTCAATTATGAATTAAGAGCATAGGCTAAAAGTGAAAGGATAGAAAATGATATTCCATGCAAATAATAACCAAAGGAGTGAAATGGTAATGCTTAAATTAGACAAAATAGACTTTCTAGCAATGTCTCTCACAAGAATGAAATGAGTTTACCATACAATAATAGAGGTTAATTTCTCAAGAGAATATAGCTTTATATATTTATGCACCCAAAAGGGAGGCTTCTAAATATAAAAAGCAAATATTGCCAGAACTGTAGGGAGAAGTAGAAAGAAACCCAATAATAGAAAACTTTAACGAAATGTATAATAAAGGACATATAGTTAACAGCATTGTAAATTGGCAAGGGAAAGCTGGTCTCATGTGTTGCGTTTGAGAATGCAGCAAAGAAAGTGGGAACTGATAATTTTACTGCAAGCCTGAGTTAGGATGAAAAACAGGGTGGTCGATTAGAGGTTCCACTTGCCATACATTAAAAAAACACAGGAGAAAACCAGTCCTCCTCTGGAGTGTTAAAATAATTAAAGATCAGAAAATTAGTCTAAAGTGGCTCTAGTGCCCTGTGTTCATAGGTAAAAAACAAAAAACAAACAAAAAAAAATCTAAAACCTAACTCAAATATATTTCCTATAAAACACTATCTTAGCCTGAAGCAAAATGCAGGTTTAACCCATGACAAACATGCAATTAACCTCTGAATATGTAACCAGGACATTTCCATCTGGATAGTTCAAATAAGGCTACCATATAACTGGAACCAATTCTTGAATTTGGGTTGCTTTCTCATGCATCTTATGAAAGCCTTTCCTTTATGCCCCTCTGGTGGACCAGAAATCATGGCTGGGTGCTTTCCATTTCACCAATCACTCTTTGTTCAGATAAACTGATGAACCTTTTAACATAGACTCCCGTTAATTTTTAACACGAGAGACTGTGGACCCCACGGGCCGCAGCTCCTCCCACGCAAACACCCACTCGCGGTTTTTCCCTGATGACCCATCTGGCCTCCCTGAACAATTTGGGAAATACTCATGGCTGTGGGCGCAGAGCAGGGCGCTGCCCAGGGACAGGACCGGATGGGCCGGACGGGACGTGGGGGTCCTCGCTGCTGGCCCAGCGGCCATCTTGCAGCCACAGGGGACTGAGGGCCAAGCTGCGGGAGACTCGGAGCTAACCGTGGGGAGGCCGGTCCTGCCGGTTTCACAGTCTGTTCTCCCCTCTCGGGATGGCGAACCCCGTATACTCACCATTTCCCAGCTTCCAGGATGTCCTGGCACCTTAACTATGCGTCCCCAAGGACCTACAGATCGCAGGGCAACAGGGGCTGTGACAGAGTAGCCCAGGGCTCTCAAGGTGCAGGAGGCGAAAGAGGAGACAGATCCCAAGCTCCTGTGCCAGCACCAGCGAGAGACACAGATCCCGCCAAATGCAGGAAGCCACGCCCTCCTTTCCTCTCCTCTGCCACCGCGCGCCTGATTGGGCGGTTCCCACATCAGTGTCAATGACTGGATAAAACTCCAGGACGCACCCACCCTCGCCTGACTCCTGCCCTTACCCCCACTCCCCCTCAGACTTAGTGCACTTTTGTTAGTTTGTTTTTAAGTTCTGGAATACATGTGCAGAACGTGCAGGTTTGTTACATAGTTTTACATGTGCCATGGTGGTTTGCTGCACCTATCAACCTGCCATCTAGGTTTTAAGCCCCATATGCATTAGGTATTTGTCCTAATTTTCTCCCTCCCCTTGACCTCAACCCCTTAACAGGCCTTAGTGTGTGATCTTTGGCTCCAGGTGTCCATGTGTTCTCATTTTTCAACTCCCACATATGAGTGAGAACATATGGTGTTTGCTTTCCTGTTCCCGTGTTAGTTTGCTGAGGTTAATGGTTCCCAGCTTCATCCACGTCCCTGCAAAGGACATGAACTCATTCTTTTTATGGCTGCATATTATTTCATGGTGTATATGTGCCACATTTTCTTTTTCCAATCTATCAATGATGGGCATTAGGGTTGGTTCCAAGTCTTTGCTATTGCAAACAGTGGTGCAATAGACATATGAGTGCATGTGTCTTTATGCTAGAATGATTTATATTCCTTTGGGTATATACCCAGTAATGAGATTGCTGGATCAAATGGTATTTCTGGTTCTAGATCCTTGAGGAATCACCACACTGTCTTCCATAATGGTTGAACTAATTTACACTCCCTCCAGCAGTGTAAAAGTGTTTCTATTCCTCCACAGCCTCACCAGCATCTGTTGTTTCCTAACTTTTTAATAACTGCCATTCAACATGGTGTGAGAAGGTATCCCATTGTGGTTTTGATTTGCATTTCTCTAGTCTCCAGTGATGATGAGCTTTTCTCTTTTTTGTGTTTGTTGACCACATAAAGGTCCCCTTCTTCTTCTTCTTCTTCTTCTTCTTCTTCTTCTTCTTCTTCTTCTTCTTCTTCTTCTTCTTCTTTTCTTCTTCTTCTTCTTCTTCTTCTTCTTCTTCTCCTTCTCCTTCTTCTTTTTCTATTTATTTTACTTATTATTATTATTTTTAAGATGGAGTCTTGCTCTGTCACCCAGGCTGGAGTGCAGTGGAAGGATCTCGGCTCACTGCAACATCTGCCACCCAGGTTCAAGTGATTCTCCTGCCTTAGCCTCCCCAGAAGCTGGGATTACAGGTCACCCGCCAACACATCCTACTAATTTTTTGTGTTTTTAGTAGAAATGCGGTGTCGCCATGCGGCCCAGGCTGGTCTTGAACACCTGACCTCATGATCCACCTGCCTCCACGGCTGAAAGTGCTGGGATTACAGACTTGATCAACCGCGCCCAGCCAAATATCTTCTTTTGAAAAGAGTCTGTTTATATTCTGTGCCCACTTTTTGATGGTTTTTTTTTGTGTGTGTGTGAATTTGTTTAAGTTCTTTGTAGATTCTGGATATTAGACCTCTGACACATGGATAGAGTGCAAAAATTTTCTTTCACTCTGTAGGTTGCCTGGTCACTCTGGTGATAGCTTCTTTTGCTGTGCAGAAGCTCGTTAGTTTAGTTAGATCTCATTTGTCAATTTTAGCTTTTGTTGTGATTGCTTTTGGTATTTTATTCATGAAGTCTTTGCTCATGCCTATGTCCTGAATGGTATTGCCTAGGTTTTCTTCTAGGGTTTTTATGGTTTGGTGTTTTACATTTAAGACTTTAATCCATCTTAAGATAATGTTTGCATAAGGTGTAAGGAAGGGGTACAATTTCTGTTTTCTGAATGTGGCTAGCCAGTTCTTTCAGCACCATTTGGTAAGTAGGAAATCTTTCCCCATTGCTTGTTTTTGTCAGGTTTGTCGGAGATCAGATGGTTGTAGATGTGTGATGTTATTTCTGAGGCCTCTGTTCTGTTCCATTTGTCTATATATCTGTTTTGGTATCAGTACTGTGCTGTTTTGGTTACTGTAGCCTTGTAGTATAGTTTGAAGTCGGGTAGCAGGATGCCTCAAGCTTTGTTGTTTTTGCTTAGGATTGTTTTGGGTTGACAGGCAAACAGGCTCCTATATTTGGGGTCACGTGCCCAGAGTATCACAGCTAATTCAGACGTGAGCTGAGACTTGAAATGCACGTGCTCTTTCCCTTACCTGGGTCTGTTGTATAATGCATCTTAGCAGCTATGTAACAGTACGAATTAGAATATTTAGACATCTTTTTAGCAACTTTTTAACCTGCATTTTTGTAACGCGGTAAAGACCTTCATCCCATCCCTGAGCCCCTCTCTCACAACACTGCACCCCACTGCTGACCACACTGTTGTGTGACCATTAGGAATCAGGGGGGCAGCGGGGGCTGGAAATAAATAAGAAAGGATTATGTTTCCCAAATTTGCTCACCTTAGAAAGTCTCCTCAACCATTCTGTGTGAGGTGATTTTTCCAAGGTAATTGTGCCCTGACTGCGCTGGATGTCAGTGTGTCTTGTCTTTTTGAAAATCACTGGATTACTCTCATGAACGGGGTATTTCTCTTTCTATTTGAAAATGGTCAACTGTCCTCTGCAGGTGTCCTGACTTGCTAGTTTAGACCCTGAAGGTAGCGGTGAGAAAATATTTGGGCCACATCAGAATACCTATTCTCAGCTGGAGGATATATAGAAATTTCTTAATAATATCTAACCATTTTCTCAATAACCATTATATTTAACATTGATAGCTTGGAGGGCAGGGAAGGACACAGATGACACAATCTTCAAAGTTTAATTTAGTTATAAGGTTTTTTTTTTGTTCTTGCTTAGTTTTGCTTAGTTTTTGGATACAAGGTCTTGCTCTGGTGCCCAGGCTGGAGGGCAGTGGCATAATGATAACTCATAATTTGGTTGTAACGGTTCTTTAAAATATATTTTTGCTGAGAGTGCTAGCTCATACCTGTAATCTAAACACTTTGGGTGGCCAAGGTGGGATGATCGCTTGATCCCAGGAGTTCAAGACGAGTCTGAGCAACATAAGTAGGCTCAGTCTCTAGAAAAATATTTAAAAATTGTCTGGGTGTAGCTTTGCATGCCTGTAGTCCCAGCTACTTGAGAGGCTGATTTGAAAGCATCACTGGAGCCTAAGAATTTGAAGATGCAGTGACCCATGATTCAGCCACTGCATTGACAGAGTGAGATATGTGTGTGTCTGTCTGTGTGTGTGTATAAAGAATTTGTATGTGAAAAAAATTCAAGCACAGGAGAAAAGTGAAAGCCCATGGTGGGGGATGTGGAGAAAGGTCACTGTGGCTCCAGCAACTCAGTGAGACTTGGTTTTCCATCTTGAAGAATTGCCCATCCACACTGACACCATAGCCTAACATATGCCAGTTCTCACACTACACCTGCTGGGATACCAGTATGTAGCCTTTTGAAAAAAATAAAATCTTTCACCTAAGAGAAGGACAAGAGAAAACGAGGGTTTCACATCTAAAGCCTTCATTTTCTTTATGAATCAACAGCCACTTGTCATTTCAATTGTCCAGAGGCGACTGACAGCACTAATACACTTAATGAATCAACCAGGAAAAATGGGCCTCTCAGGTGAGGAGGAGGCACAATCGTCACAAAACCCAATCCGTTCTCAGCTTTGCATGGTGCTCGCATCTCAAGAAGTGGTGTTAGCCATGTGAACCGTGTTCACTGGACAAGGCCAGAGGAAAGAATATGTAGTACAACACAACTATGGGGCTGCAAATCAAACTGGTAGTGAGAGCATGCATGAGGCTTCAGTGGCCGAGACACTGGTGGCTACCCTTCGGTGTCACTTAAATCTTTGAGGTGAAGGACATCTTTTTCCCAACTGGCTCAGAGAAACTAATCAACATTAAAATTGAGATTTGTTTTTCTTTTCAAAATTTCTAAGACATAGAGGACTCTCTAACACTCCAAAAGACATTCAGCTATACATGCAGCTGAGGACCTGCCTGCTCTGTAGAGGGATGGCAGAGCAGCAGCCACCAGCTTTAGTAGCTTTAAGCTCCTCTTCTCATAGGAACAGGCCACCCCCACACAACCCCCCTAACTTCATAGGCTCTGGCTGTCAGGTGCACCTGGGGGACTGTCTTCCTCCCATCTCATTAGCTCTCGAAGACAGTTCAGCTCAATGTAAAACCTACCTTAGGATGGTGAGTTGTAGGCTCTCCTCTATTCTCCCAGCGCAGTGTGACTTCTGGAGAGTGCTTCTCCATCCTCTTACCTCAGATGATGTGAAAAGAGCCGGTTCCCGGGCAGTTAGATGTTCAGTGACATAACAGGCCCAGCATGCGCAGGGCCTGGCCCCACAACCTGGCACCTCTCCCTTACCTGGCCTTCAGGCTGGACTTTTCTCTTCTGCCACAAATGTCAGGTGATGATCACCTCTGCCACACTCTCATGAGCTTGGTAAGTATCAGGGGTGTAAACCCCAACAGATTTCCTGTGACTCTACCCTCTTACCACCCACTCAAGTGACATTATAAGCATAATTTTACATTTGATATTATTTATGCGTAATTTTTTTTATAACATTTCTGACAACAGCCCACACAACGAAATGAGTCTGGGTTACAGAACACACGGGCGAGGCTGGGGTAGCAGGCTTCAATTACTTTATTCCAATGTGAAATGAAGATTGATGATTTAAAAACAAGACAAAGTTGTTTATCAGCTGTGGGGTGGCTACACTTGCTAGCTCATGCTCACTTTCTTTGAAACAAGGTATCTGTACAGACCATACTCATAAGTAGCTCTTCACAAAACCCCAGACAGAAGTCCCAGTCAGACACAGCTCCCTCAGGCTCACAGGGCAGCAACCTCCTCCTCCATGTTAGGCTCTGACAGCAGGCAAGGGAAGAAGCACAGGCAGCAGGGGACAGGGAGATGTCCCGGACTGTAGGGATCCCCAAATGCCCCAGAGCTATTATCTGTAGAAGGGTGCACGCAGGTCTCACTCTGACAGTGCAGTGGCTGAATCATGGGTCACTGCAGCCTCAAACTCTTAGCCTCCAGTGATGCTTTCACCTCAGCCTCTCAAGTAGCTGTATGGCAAAAAGCCTCCTATTTTTTTACTTAAAACCTGGACTTCAAGCCAGGTTGGACCTGGGGATAGTGGCAGCAAAAGCAGCAGCCAAATGTATACACTCCAGATGTCTACACTCATGGGCACAGGCATATTCCACTCTTGCTGGAGCACGAGAGGCCTGAGAGGCACCTGTTTCCCAGTTGCTAACTGATGCCCACACACCCCATTCACGTGTCTTCATTTAGGTCTCTGCATCGTGTATTCCCTCAGCCAGTGCAAACACATCTTCTGGGGGGCATCATTAATTGCAGCACCTGCCCCTCTTGTTCTGGGAGGGAGTCAAGAGGAATCTGGTCAGCTCCTAATCCCCCAGGACAAAGGTGCTGCCCCCTTTTCAGCACTCACATCCAGCAATGCCATCTCTGGATGGGTTTTTCAAACACAAGTAGCATGAGGTAGCAAGCATGGTGTGACAGGCTCAGGGCCATGGGCAGCCGGTTGCTGGAGAAGCAGCACAGGGCAGGCACATCTGTGGGTGGCACCATGACAAGCCAAGGCAGCCACAGCCCCTAATCCCAACAGCTCCAGCCCAGTTGGCATTCAAATCTTCCCAGATAGTATTGGGGTACGCGATGCCCATCACTCGCCCGCTCATTAGCACGGCCTTGTTGGTTACTCAGAGACTAAGGAGAGAGAGTGGGGGATGTAGATCCAGGGTGGGCACCGCCTTGCAGCCAGAGTCCACCTGACTGCAGGCCAGCAAGCAAGCCCAAGCAGCTCAGCTCTAGTCACCTCTGGCTGTACTTTATGTGTATACTTTACACAAAGGTAGCAAACAGAGGTCAACATTAGCTGTTGTGACATGAAAGTCTATGCCTCATTAAGACCTTAAAATGCTGTTGTCTTAAGCTCTCTTTATTCCACTAAAATTTATACAAATAAACACATGCAAGCTGAAACTACTATAAAGGAAATATTAGGATTTTTTAAACCCATAAACAGACATGAAAACAGTCACTGTTTGATTGCAGAGAAAGTGAGCTTCTAAAGCAGCTGACCACAAAACAGCCTCACCAAACCCCAGGCAGGCCAGGCAGTCTGAACACTACAAGGCCACGTGATGGTCACAGAGGATGACAGCTCCCGTGAGTATTGCAAGGCACTGTGTTAGCTTCTCACTCACAGTCTCAGAATACCCTGTGAGGGGAGGCCCCGTCTCACTAGAGCACAGGAGGTTCCTGAGCTCTTCCCAGAAAATGGTCATCAAACGATGGAGCAGAGGGAAGCCCAGACAGAACAAGTGAGTCCCTAGGGTCTCCTTAACCTCCCTCAGCTCCTCCACATGGGTCCCTGAGGGAAAGTGAGCAGCCTCCTAACCCCCTTGATAGGGTTCCAGTCCTGCAGGTCGGACTCTCTCATTTTATGCTACCATAGGGGGTGACAATGCAACCCCAGGCCCCTTATTTGCCATCCCTCAATGCCAGGCCAGGCCCAGAGCCCTTTGCTAACACAGCCCAGGGGATGCTCAAGGCCCACCTCGGCACAGTCACCTGTAGTGTACTGAGATGAGCAAGGAGGTGCAAGTAGACACAAATCCCCATGGGCTTGGCCTCAGCCATGTTCCACAGGCTCAGGGCCTCGCAGATGAGCTCACAGCCCTCCTTCAGGAAGCCTGCAGATCACACCCTCAGGGAGCAGTGCTCAGATGAGCAGGCAGGCCCCACATCCCCCACCCCATGACGCTCTGTTCCACTTTGCAGGCTTCTGCATTGGCCAGTCCCCACTGCTTTCTGGTGAGATGTCCGAGTTGAAGTGAATGTTGAAGGCCACACAGCTGATGGAGCTCACTGCCTTGCACATGTTGTAAATCACCTCCTGGCTTCAAGGGTCAGCTGTGGAGACACAGCTTGATGGGAGGTAGGCCCACTCCACCATCAGTGGTGCTGGGTTGCCCTGATCTGCACCTTCCAGATACTTGCTAAGATATCTGCATGCTTCTCTAAGGGACTGGGTCACGAGACACCCCTGGCAAGGACCAGCTGGCAGAACAGGCTGGACACTCTCCCTCAGCCTCCCCAGCAGCCCCACCTGTGCTGTCATCTGTGCTGATGATCTCCGTGGTAAGATTATGGGAAACTTTTACAGCAAGTTTTCCTTTCTCACTTCCCTATCTTAATAACAGCACTGATAACTTTTAAGCCCTAGCAAGCTGAAACTGCAAGACACATGATCTTCTGCCTTAGAAGGGCCATGTTTGGGCAGTGGGTGCCCAGGTGAGAGCCCCATGGTTGTTAGTGGCAGCCGGGAGCTGGATGGGCCTGCCCCATAGCCTAGTGAAAAGTGGGACCCTCTCCTTCCAGAGCATGGAAGTCTCAGAGGCTGGAAAAAGGTGCCTAAGTGGCCTGCCAAAAAGCATAAGGCTAGAAGGCCTGGAAAGAGCCCCAACAGCCTTCAAGCTGCCTGAGAGGGCTGGGCTCATTCCAGCTTTCTTTGCTTTCATCCTGTTAGCAAGAAAACCTGCTCACAGATGGCAGGCGGGCCTGAGGCTGCCATTCCCTCATCAGGGGCTATAGGCACCTTTAATGTGGCTCTTTCTTGAAGCAGCTGCTCAGGCCGGTTCTCGAAGAGCAGTTCCCTCATTATCCACAGGTCCTTCTTCCAGCCCCGTGTCTGCAGAGGGACTAGGGAGGGAGACAAGGGCTCAGCCTGTGCCCCACAACCTGCTTTGAGACATCTCTTTTGTTACTTCCTCACAGACAGCCTGAAACTTCCAAATGAACAGACCAGAATGGAGCCTCCAGGAAAGTGTACAGAATTCTGTCTAGTACCCAGAAGGAAGGGGGTTCCCAGTGAAGGCAGGGCCAGGCTGCATGCACCTCTTCAAAAATGTTCTCCTCATAGTCCACGCTCAAGGTGTACATCCTCTGTGTGCTTGCAGTCCATGGCAGCCTCTGCCTTGGGAACAGTCCAGCTGCACACCTGCAATATGGTGGTGACCCTCTTGAATGGATGGTTCTGGGCCCCATTGCAGACAGCAGATAGGGAGATGCTCAGCCCATCAAGCCCAGAGCCCTGCCACAGGCTTCTGTGAGGCCTCCACCTGCTCTGGGTTCTTGCCCTGAGAGGCTGCCCTGAAGTCAAACAGAAGCAGGTGGGACTCTCTTCCACAGCTGCTCTCTCTCCCACTGACAGCTCCCTAGAGGGTAACTCAGACAGAGAAGATAGAATTCTCAGGCAGAAGGACAGGAGTTTCGGCTGCCGATTCATTCCATACCCCCACATGACATGACACAAGGCAGGGGCTGTGGGACAAAGGCATTGCCTTTCCTTCTGGCAAGAGGAATGCCTTAGGAAGCAGGTCTGGTGGGGCTAGGGTTGAGCGATAGGCTTCAGGCCACAAGGAGTGGATGGACACTGAGCAAGTATCCTGGTTATCTGTCCACAGATCCAGAACAAGTGGCATCCCAGGAGCCTGGGAGGGGCTGGCAGAGACTTACTGTGTCCAGCAAAAGCCCCATGTGGATGCGGTAATGCTGCCTGCTGGTCCTTGTCTGTAATTACAAACAGGTACATGAGGTCCCCATGGATCTTGCAGCTCTCAGGGAGTGGGTTCCAGCTGCTCATGTTAGGCACTTTTAGTCACTGAACGTGCTTCAGGAATGGCCAAGTTTGATTAAGCCAGGCGTCTTGCTGTGAGACCCTCCACCCAACTGAGGACCCTCTTCCTTGTCCCCCCTGACAGTTTACCTTCCAGTTCTGGTTCTGGAGACACGATGGCCCTTCTTGGGCCCCTGGGAGAATGTGCTCAGATGACACACAGTCGACAGGGCCCATTTCCAAGCCATTCTTCCATTTCCCACTGTTTGAGGGGCCGAGGCCGGTGATCAGCACAGGGCCACCCAGGGCCAGCTGTCTGCACCTAAACGTCATGTTGGTCTGGATGTCTCAGGGCCAGAACTCTCCAGGTAAGATGGCCTGGTCCTCAGCACCTGGCCTCCATGCTCCTTTTTCCTCTGTTCAATCCTGGCCCCAATGCCTCCCGCAACTCTCAGGTCACCATTGGAGAAGATGCTCAGGAAGAACAAGGAGCTGCAGTCAACCCTGCTGAAGGTGGCATATGGGTCCAGGCTCTTGAGCTGGTCTTCGACATGGTACATGTGGATGCAGGCTTTGAGCAGTGTGAGTAGCTCTTTCCGGAAGGAGGGGAAAACGGTGTTACCAGGGTCCTACACCCTAGAACGACCCATCTAGCACAGAAAACAGTTTGCAACGTGCTATTATGTGTGATTTTAATTTTGGGCTTTAGGCTTTCATTTCCAAATTCCACAATAAACACATAAGGTGGGGTTCTGATTTCAACACACACACACACACACACACACACACACACACACACACACACATTCTCTCTCTCTTCCTCTCTCTTAGAATCTTCCAGTGAATTCACACTGAAAGCCGAAGTCCTCCCAGAATCTTGTGAGAACCTAAATGATCTGAATAGTTTGTCATTGCTTTTAGGGATCTGGGAAAATCTCTGCACATTTCTGGAGACCGCTGTTATGCCATTTTTAATAAATCTGTTGTGCTTCAATTCAGAAGTGTGTGAGGGGAGTTGTGGAGGAATTGGCATTTGGGTTAGAAATTCCAGGAACAACAGAGACAGATGACACCTGTTTTCTGCTTCATAATGTCAAGTTTTATGAAGGCTAAAACCTAATTCTACAAAAAAAATTAGACTGAAAAACTTTATAGGCAAAAATTATCTTATTAAATAGGAAAATCTAATTATTTTATTTTAAAATTTTCTTTTCCTTAGTAGGACCTAATCATAGAAATTTAAACACTGTATGCCAACAGCCTCTACTGTAGGATGGTTTATTGTAAGTACTCATTTTACAGATTTCTTACAAAAACTTTTTCCGTAAGAGAAATTAGAATATTGTTCAACATATATTGAATTCACAATTATTACCTTATTTCTCACTTATTATTTTATGATTCTGTTTTCTTTAATATGAAGATTACTATGACTGTGTTTTCACTTTCTGAATTATCATGTGTCACATTTTTCTGTAATTTCAGTTTGAGAAGTTGTAAAACAGCATGCTCAAATGTATATGTTATGTATCAATTATATAATTAATTATTAAAATATTTGGCTTGTATGTTTAATTGACTCTAGGCACAATATTACTATTAGCATTTTCTTCCAGTTTTCCCAACTTTTATTTGACTAATAGTACAATTTATTTCCAGTTTTTATTTTATCTGTCAATGTTTTATACTGTATTTACAATATTTATATTGTTACCATATGTAAAAATGTAAGACCTTTCTATTAAAGGCTAGATTACAGCCTTACCCTTTTGTGTAAGGAAAGAAGCAATGCATCAGTAGCATAATTTAAAACTTTCTCTAGTATTACTTAAATTTTTATTCCTTAAAACTTTCTCATCACATCTCTTTTTAATAATTATAATATGGTTTCTTTGAAATGTTGTTGCCCTAATTGTATCCAAGTAATTCAAAATTTATACTTTTTATGGATTCAAAGGAAGAGTTGAAAATTGTAGTTACCTAGGATTCTTTTTCAGTTGGACACTATGTTTATTCAGGATTTTATAGATCAAAGTTTCTCTTAATTATGTTTTAGAATTTATGTTTCTGTATTTTTTAGAGTAGGCTGTCTCACAGCAGTTAATTGTGTTTTTACTTTCTACCTATTTATTATGATTTTGAATTACATTATTCAAGTAAGAATTCGGGGAAGGTTTCTTTTAAGTTTGTTTTGCAATTTTGCATTTCTGTGTTTCATGTTTTAGGGTAGGGCACCTTACATCAGTTTATTGTTTTTAGTTTGAATTTATATAATATAATTTTCTATGACAATATTCAAATCTGTACAGCTTAAGACAGTGTGAGGCAAAAAATATGAAGCATCCCTATGGTCTTTTGTTAATATAATGATTTAATTGTTTGTTTGCTTGTATAAATATTGCCCCTATTTTGTTTATGACTTGTGTATTTTCTTCTTGTTTGATGGACAATAATTGATTCTGTCTAAGTGAGTAATCATGGAAATTGTCTTAATTTCAACATCTATTGTTTATATTATCCTAGTGTGAAAGAAAGACTTATGCGATTTGAAGATAATTTTTCAAAAACTTTGTAACTCTCTCTCTTCAGGTGTCTTTACTTATTTATTTTTTGACAGACTCTCACCCTGTCGCCAAAGTGCAGTGGCACAATCTTGGCTCACTGCAACCTCCACCTCCCAGGTTAAAGCAATTCTCCAGCTGCTGCCTCTTGAGTAGCTGGCATTAAAAGTGTGCACTACCACGCCTGGTTAATTTTTGTGTTTTTCATAGAGCTGGGGTTTCACCATGTTGGCCAGGCTGGTCTTGAACTCATGGCCTCAAGTAATCTGCATGCCTCAGCCTCCCAGAGTGCTGAGATTACAGGCATGAGCCATCTCTCTTGGCCCTTGGGTGTCATTTTTAATTTCGATTGTGGTAAAAATACATAACATAAAATTTAGAATCTTTAATATTTTTTCTTATACAGTTCAGTCATGTTAATGTATTTACATTGCTTTGCAACATATTTGTAAAACTTTTTTCTTTTGCAAAACTGAAACTCAGGACACATGAAATGACAACTACCCATTTTCCTTACAACCTGGCTCCTGATAAAAATCATTCTATTTTCTGTTTCTAAGTTTCAATACTTTAGATATTACATATAAGTAGAATCATAGAGTATCTGTTTTATTGTGACTAATTTTACTTAGCATCATGTTCTCAAGATTTCTCTTTATTGTGGATGGTACAAGATTTTCTGCCTTTAAAAGCTGAGTAATATTCCATTACTTTTGTATTACAAATTATATTTATTTATTCATTCTATGAGGAAAGTTTGTGTTGCTTTCACCTATTGGCCTTTGTGAATAATGCTGCAATGAATATTGGTATGCAAATAGCTATTTGCTCATATGTATGAGGTTTACATGTGTGCTACCTTCTGTTTTATTGGAAAAATTGTCTGTCTTTATGCTAGAAACAAACTGTTTTCATTGCTGTTGCTTTGTAATGTGCTTTGAAATCAGAAAATTGAGGCCGCTAACATTGTTTTTTTTTAAAACATTTTTGGGCTCTTTATGGTCGCTTGACATTCCATATAATTTGTTGGTTCCTTTTTCTATTTCAAAAACATTGCTAATTTAAAAGGGATTGCATTGAATCTGTAACTCGCTTTAGGCATCATGAGCATTCTTCATAATATCAAGTCTTACAACCCTTAAACATGAGCATGCTCAAAAGTGAGTTGTTTAATTTCCATATATATGTTGCTATTTTTGTTTTCTTCTGTTATTCATTTCTAGTTTTATTCCATTTTGATCAGAAATAATAGTCACTGAAAGGCTAAACCACTCTGGGAAGTGACCCCCATTATAGAACATTACAAAGAGATGTGAGGGCACCACTTCTGCCCTGATGGGCTAGAGGGATGTGTTCTCTGAGATGACACGTTGCAGACAAATGCAGGGAACAATATAACCCCCT
Organism: Homo sapiens; assembly: GCF_000001405.40. Lineage (NCBI taxonomy): Eukaryota > Metazoa > Chordata > Mammalia > Primates > Hominidae > Homo > Homo sapiens. Next base: position 7,392,183 of record NC_000021.9, read on the forward strand.
TTTCATGTAAACTCTTCCTTATTTTTCTAGAGTATTAGTGATAGTGGTGGCTTTGAAGTCTTGGGGAAGGTCTGGCAGTGCCGTGAACCTGCCTGCTACAGGTGATACCAGGGGGGAAAAATTAAAACCATACAAACTGTAGAAACATGAATAAATACAGCCTAGTGTAAAGTAAAAACAACACAAAGGCCTTCTCTGATATTTCTACAAGAATGTAAAAAGGGACTTTACACTTAACCAAGCTGCCTTTGGGACTAGTTAAGGCTAGATTTTTGGGAGGCACATCTTTGGGTCACTCATGGAAATCCCCTAAGAGAGAGCCCAGAGAAATTCCATATTTGGGTCTGGATCCTGGGCCCATCCTGGTTTTGTCAGACCCCTGTCTGTAGAGACCCCCATGTGCCTGCTCTCACCGTAACTCACTGTATGCCATGCTTGGGGGTGTGGTGAACCTGCCAGTTGTCCAAGGAGATGGGGGACTTGAACCCATCAAATATCTGCTCAATGATTTTAATGAAACTCTACAGAGAGTGTTCCCAGCAGTGAAGCAGGAAAAAAAAAAAAAGAAAAAAGAAAAAAAATTAATTATCTCCTTTGTTTTTACCACCAGGTGACATCTCCATTAGAAATTCTGTTTCCTAGATCAGGAACATAGGAGTATCTGCATAGACCCCCAGCCAATGAGGAAACCCGAGGACAGCTTAAGGCCTTGGGATTCACATCTGAGTAGACACACTTGGTCCACAATGCTCAACTTTTTATTCCACCAGCCATGACCTGGGTATGAACATGACATAGCCGCCAGGGTTCCAATGCCTTACAGCCTGCCCCTGTGAGAAAGAGCCCCCTCCTTTCCTGCTCCCCCTGCAACACATGGTAATGGTAGACAGGGTCGGGTTGCCCAGATTAGATGACACGGGTGGCCTGGCATGGACGGACCTGACCTGGGCTTCACTGTGTTACCTCTGTTTGCCTCTTGTTGAATGGCCAGTGGTATCAAGGATGTGGGCTGAGCCAATATGTATATGGTCAGAAAAGTCTCTCACTTTGAACCTTTCTCAGGCAACAGCTTAGGAATATAGCACACAATGAGAACACAGTACTCTCTCAAGCATCTCCCATGAAATTAGCTAGATAGAGGGCTCTCTCTAGAATGTGGGTTTCTGTTTCCCAAAGTTCTAAATTCTGTTAGGTTCTGTCACAAGGGAAGTCTGTTAACTTCTTCAAGGTTTTATCCCCTGAGCCCTTTTCCTCCATAAATCTATGCAAAGTCCCTACTGGGCTGCTGATTGCTCACCCTCATCTCCCATGTCAACTCTTTTCCTGTAAACAGTTATGCAAACACAATTATGCCTCTTACTCCCCAAAAAGATCTAAATACAGCCAGGGCCCCAGGTTTGAGAGAACAGAGTTGGATTAAAATCTTCTTTTCCTTTTCATTTCTGTGACCATATGAAAATGACTGTGTGCTTCAGTTCTCCCCAGCCCTGAAGTATGCATAATGGGATTAGGCTAGCATCAACTTCCAGAAAGAGTCATTGGCGATATATGAGATAGAATGAATCAAAATCAGTTGGATGTAGTTGCTCTTGCCTGTAATCTTAGCAGATTGGTAGACCAAGATGGGTGGAACACTTAAGGCCAGGGGTTTGAAACCAGCCATGGCCAGCATGGCAAAAACCCTTCTCCACTAAAAATGCAAAAATTAGCCAGATGTGTTGATGCTTGCCTGTAATCCCAGCCACTCAGGAGGCTGAGGTGTAAGAATCACCTGAGCCAAGGAAGCAGAGATTACATTGAGCCTTGATCATGCCTCTGCACTCCAGCCTGGGTGACATAGCGAGACTGTGTCTCAAAAAAATATATATACTATGTATATATAATTTATATTTATATATTATATATAATATATAAACTTATACATATACACCTTTATGTATAAAAGATATATATTTCATATATCTGTATACATAAAAGATATATATTTTATATATATGGCCTTATTTTTCCATTCTACAGCAGAAGAGGTTGAAATCAAAAGAAAATCAGATACTGTATTCTGGCATTAAATATTCCAGTGCTGTGCATTATATTTGGAATCACATGTATATGCTTCATCTCAGCCTATGTGGTGGGCACCCCCAACAAAGTCTCACAACAACACTAAGTTGTGAGTGACTCTGTTATTTAAAAACGCAGCTCACCGCTCAGTGCCTCAGAAGCCGGTACTATAACACCGGGTTTCCAACAAAGACATTGGATTCCAGCTGAAGCCTCTTTCCCTGTGCTTACTTAAAGGTAGTAATATTCTCAGAAAGGTTTAAGAGGTGGCTTCTTGTTTAGCAGGGAATTGCTGAAAGGAAAAATGTATGGAAAGTCACTGGGCATGAACAGCCATCTTTTCCTGCTACACACAGGTCATGTGCAAATTTGGGGACAGTTAGTACAAAACATGTGATGGAAATTTGGGCTCTTACATCAGTGAGCTTATTTCACACAGACTCCAGTTGACCATATTGGTTCCAACCAATTTTAGCCACTTTTTAGAAGTCTCATAAGTGGAATAAATTTCATTCTTTCAACAAGTTCTATCTTTTCTTATCTGTCATTCTGCAAACTGAAGAATTTCTGCTAGTCGTTGGTTGAACTCTTTGGGGACCTGGTTCTAGTTTCTGTCAAAGAGAATACAACAAATGTGATAGGTTATCACTTCTGACTTAGTTCAGGCTTCTATACCAAAAAACATAGACTAGGCAACTTATAAACAAAAGACTTTAGTTCTGGAGGCTAGAAATTTGAGATTGGCTTCCAGCATGGTTGTGGTCTGGTAAGGACTCTCTTCTGAGTTTCGAACTCCAGACTTCAGGTTGTATTCTCATTTAGCAGAGAGAAGGACAGACAGCCTTCTGCGGTTTCTTTTACAAAGCCAGTAATCTCTACCACGAGGGCCTCATGCTTAGGACTTAATTACCTCTGACCTGCTAAGGCCATTAAACTGGGGATTAATGTTCTGGAATGTGAATATGGTGGGGAATCACATAGTCTACTGCAACTTCCAAAGTTATATTTCCAAAACAGCTATTATTTTCCTCCCACTTGCTCTGTCCTGTGTTTCGTCTCTCAATCTCTCTGTCTCCCTTTCTCTTTTTCTGTGCATATGTCTGTCTATCTCTTTCATTTTCCATCTCTCTATTGTATTCTTCAAGATGAGGAAGCGATCTCCAGTGTCCTAAGATGCTCTAGGCACAGACCCACATGATAGAGAACTGAGGAACTGCCCAGGCCAATCAACAGGAAGAAACTGGTGTTCTCAGTTCACACTGAATCCTGCCAATTTCCATGAGGCAGATTGGAGGCTGATCTCTCCCCAAATCCAGCTTCAGTTGAAATCACAGCCCCAGCCTCATAGGGGACCTTGAGGCAGAGGCACCCAACTAAGCTATATCGAGATTCTGATTCACAAAAATTGTGAGATAGTATTTGTTGTCAAAATGTGCTAAAATTCAGGGCAATGTTGTCAGAGAGCGGCAAATGACTAATCTCCTCTTTCAGGCCCCAGGATACACCCTCCCCTCTTTTCCTTTCTTTCTCAGGCTGCCTACAGCCACACTTGTCCCTTTATAACCTCCTCTGCTAAACTGACTTGTGCCTCTGAGTCTTTTCACAAAGAGTGGCTTTTCCCTGACACACTTTCCACACCTGCGCAGTTGTCATTCTCGTCACAACATAATGTCACCTCAGGGAGGCATTCATGTCTCCTCCAGGCAACCTCTCCCCAGCCCTCCCTCCCAACATTCTACTTTATTTCCATTATAAAATGCTCTTTTCTTTCGCATGTACTTGCTTTAGTGTTTTTGTCCTGCCGTCCTCAGACTGTAGGCTCCCCGCGGGGATGCAGGGATAACATAATCGTTTTTGGTACCACATGGTGAACCTACCAAGGTAGCTGCCACAGGGTGAGTGCTAGGGGAAGAGTCGCTGAGTAAAATAACATGGAAAATCACAAAGTCCTTCCTGCTTTCGGTCACCCAATAATGTGGAGATCAAGAATGATAACAGGAGCTGCAGGCCCTCAGCCTGTCTCTCCCACGGCTCCAGCTACTCCAGTCAAGTCCAGCGGGCACAAGAAACACGGGGTCTGCAGCCACCTAGAGACCTCCGCTAGCACTGTAGTCCCAGGCAGAAGCATCACAAAACAGGTACCTGCACTGGGGAATTCTCAAGGCAGTGGCTCTTCAGGGACCCCTGGGAAAAGGAGCAGTATCTGAAGGCTCCAAGGGCCATAAAAGTGACCTCGGAAGCCTCCCTTGATTCCTATTTTCCTCAGCCTCTTTGAGTGTGCTGTGCACTCATTAAACATTTTAACAGCATTCGGCGACATTATTTTCTTCCACTTCCGAATGAGGACCTCAAGGACAGCCCAAAAAACTAGTATTTTTTCTGGGCCCCACACTCCAGAGCCCAGTGCATTGTCACATTGTGCTTTATTCCAAGTCCTCATCCGCCCAAGTCTCTAGGCCTCTCTCTTCTCTGAAGGACCTCTAGAAACTGAAAAGCCTCTTCCCAGAGTCTCAAAGCACAGTGATTTACCAATGAAAAGCCAAGGGCGGCAGACACCTATGAGTATCTAGAATCCTTGGTATTATTCCTTCTCAGTACCCCTATTTATGAGGGAGAAAACAAAGGCTTTCTTTCCCGTAGCCTGTCTTTATATCACACGGGGTGGTGGGTGGAGGGCATAGCTCATTTTAGTTCCAGGTGCCCACAGAAGTGGGAGTCACAACCCCAGTCCTGTCCTCTTGAAACAGCTGGGAAAGTCCCCAGGCTTGGAAGAACCCAGGGAACCTGGAGGATCCTTCATCGCATGCTGTCAGCTCCTGGTCATGTAGCTGGGGGAGTGGATGCCTCTGCCTCATGGCAAAGCTGCATCTACTGTTTCTTCCCCTTTTGTCACTTCTTTGGTTTCCTCTTCCCTAACCTCACTTTAGAATCTCCACTTTAGATCTCCAATTTAGAAGCCTGTGTGTGTGTGTGTGTGTGTGTGATGTGTTTGTGTGTGCATGCCTGCACGCCTATGTGACAACATTGAAGAGTAGAAAGCCCAGGTAGAAAGTAGAGCACAGGGTTTTCCAGGACTCATGGGCTCTCATTTCCAAAGCAAACCTGATGGGTGGGGTGCATGCAAGGCCTAGGAAGCTGGATCCCTCCCTAATACTCTGTGCTTTGCCCAATTTGTGGGATCTGGACCAGTCTTTGCCTTTTTGGGAGGTCTCAGTCTTCCTGTTGTAAAATAAAGAGTTGGCTACAAAACTGTATGAGCACATGCTCAGTGAAGACAGGGTGTCATGCTCAATACCACAGAGAATATTGGGATGGGGAAAGTTTGGGCAGACTTAGGTGTCCATGCGTGCTCAGGCCTCTGAACAGGGCCAGTGCAGGCAAACATAAAGCACAGCACAGCCAGGTTTTCTTTCCAGGGCTACAGGATGAAACAGTGCACCACAGGATCTGCTCTTGAGGTCGGTCCCGCAAGATTTTCCCACCTTCAACCAGCAACTGTTTGATGAATTTCATGTCCTGTGAAGCCCATATCCACCCCCATTACAGTGAGGGGCACAGGGCACTAGACCTGTAAAATAATGTCTTTTGCCTTTTTTTCTTTTCTTTTCTTTTTCTTTTTTTTTTTTTTAACTGAGTGGATGTTTCTTCTTTCTCTTTATCTGTTTTGTTTGTTTTTTAACTAATTTTTAAGAGGTCTTTACAGGTCAGCTGTGGTGCCTCGCACCTGTAATTTCAACACTTTGGGAGGATGAGGCAGGTGGATTATTTGAGGTCAGGAGTTCAAAACCAGCCTGGCGAACCTGGTGAAAATCCGTCTCTACTAAACTTACAAAAAAATTAGCGGGGAATGGTGGCCCAAGCCTGTAGCCCCAGCTACTCAGGAGGCTGAGACAGAAGAATTGCTGAAACTTGGGAGGCGGAGGTTGCAGTGAGCCGAGATTGCACGACTGCACTCCAGACTGGGTGACAGAGTGAGTCTCTGTAAAAAAAAAAAAAAAAAGAGAGAGAGAGAGGGAGAGAGAGAGTGCTCTTCATGGAAACATGAGCCCCTTTGTAATTTCATGTGTTGAAAATATTTATTCCAATTTTGCAATTTCTTTTCTTATTGTGGTGTTCTCTTTAAGTTTGGTTTAGATGTTATTAGTGTTTCTCCCCAAATTGATTTATTGATTTCCATTTTCACAATACAATATTTTGGCAGAAATCTTGTGGAAACTGTCTAATCAGTTTAAAAATTTAAATACATATTAAAAAATCAAAGAACTGTAAAAACTGTCCTGAAGAATGACAAAGTTTGTGAGCTTACAATGCCATATATTCAGACTTAGATTAAAGCTATAGTAATAAAAGCTATCTATGGTAGTAATGCAAAAATAGGCACAAAGAAAACTAGAAAAACTCGAGAGTCCAACTCAGACTCACACATTTAGACATTTTGTATATTACAAAACAGGCACAGAAGAGCAGTGGAGAGAAGACAGCATCTCGGTAATTAGCCTTGGGTCATCTGGTTATTTATGTGAGAAAGAAATAAACCTATCTTATATTGTTAACAAATTTCGAGACAAGTGGATTTTAAATTTTAAGGTGAAAATTGAAAACAATATTTCTAGTAGATAACATAGATAAGTATGTCCATGACTTTGGCACAGGCCAAGATTTCTTGGGACACAAAATGCATAAATTATCAAGACAAAAATATGACAAATTGGACTTTATTAGAATTAAAACCTTCTCTTCATAAAAAAAAAAGCTTCAGGAGAGCTGAAAGGCAAGAACAAAGTGGAAATCAACATTTGTCATATATTGATCTGGCAAAAGCTTTTTATCTAGATTATTAAGCTAAATCCCATCACTTAATAAACAAAGATGCATACATTGAACAAAATTGGCAAAGATATGACTAGGAGTTCCACATACAGAACCGAAGGGCCAACAAGTAGATGAACATATCCACATTCTTATGCATCAGAACAATGCATATGAAAACTACAATTGAATACCACTATGCAATCATTAACATTTTTGAAAACTGACAAAATTAAGTATTAGTGATGATGTCAAGCAACTGGAACTTTCTTATACCATTCTGTGTGCAAACTGTTATAACCACATTCAAAACCACTTGAGTAGTAACTCCTTACATACACGATGTACATAAGCACACTCTAGAACCCAGCAACTCTGCTACTAGGTATATACACCCAATAGAATTGCCAGCATATTTTCCAATGTAGTAAAGTGCTCGAAGTAGCATTATTTGGTACTTTTCCAAACTGAAAAAAACTCAAATGTGCATCAATAATAAAATAAATAACTAAAACAGCTACATATTCCTTTATAAGGGGACATTATACAGATATAAAATTAATTGGAGACATATTAAAATATACAAAAATCTAACAAATACAATTTAATTAGATTTAAAAGTCCTATCCAGAGCAATCGGCCAATAAAAAAGAAAAAGGCATACAAATAGAAAAAGAAATTGAATTCTCTTTCTCCATTTGCAATATGAGTCACTACGTAGAGAATGCTAAAGCCTCTCCAAAACTACTTTTGGGGAAAACTTGAAAAGCCTCCTGAAACGGATAAGCAAGTAAAGTTTTAGGACACAAAACCAATGTACAAAAATAAGCAGCATTTCTATGCATCAACAACTTTGAATTCCTGAACATCTTCTGGTTTTATTGCATTTTCAATTTTTTCCCTCCATTAACTATACATTTTTTCTTTTTTCAGCTAAACTAATTTATTCTTCTGTATAATTTCACCTTGTTAATAAACCCCAGGCCAAAAAGTGGGAATAAAGTATTTGTCTGCATCCTGTTTCCTCATTTTGAAAACTAGTCTAGACGAAACCTATACTTGTTCTAGGGAGTTGGCATAGACAGCATTTATTTCCGTTCTCAGCAGTGATGCCAGCCAGAAAGAGGGAGTTCCCCATTTTCACTTTGGTTAGACAGGACTCTGGATGGTTGAAGGGGAAAAGTTTCAGACTCTAAGGGAGCCAAATAGGATATTACAAAGATTTATGCATTTACTCCGGGAGCAATTATTGTGTTAAATTTTGTGCAAAACACTGCGCAAACAGCAATTAAAGTGAAAATTATTAAGGCATTACCTTTACCTTGGGAAACTCACACTAGTCAGATTCTCCGAACCCCAGAACATAACAACAACCTAGTAAAATCTTGTTCAGAGTGAAGAGAGGGTGGGAGCAGGAAGGTAAGGTTAAAAATTAGGCTGGGTGAATGAGATAATTACCCCTAGTCAAGCAGTGGAAGTATGGATGGCTTTGGGATGGGTGAAGACAAAAGAATCTCAGCAGAGGGTGCAGATAAAAAAAGGCAGAAACACAGGAGGCTTATGCAGGAAGAGGAATGAGTTTGCTGGACTGGGGAGAGTGACAGTAAAAAGCAGAGGATAATAGGCATCTCTGGTCATCTAGGGACTATAGGGTGGATTAGTTGGGGGTTACAGAATCAGTGAGGTACTTTTTAACAGTAGGATGGGTAAATAAGAGCTATAATTTGGAATAATTATGTAGCAATGGTGGTTAGGAGCAATAGAAACTCAAAGTATTACATAAATATGTTTTTTTCTTATTCTCCCACACAAGCCTTTCACCTTCCCTCTTAAACTGAGAACGGAGTGGTTTGCTATGATGTTTTTAAATTCTCACAGGCAAGCATTACTCTGTGCTGCCTTTTAATAAAGGCTAATTTTAACCAAATTAAAGAAGATTGAATGGATTTTCTTGATCATAATGGTTGAGTACAACATCTCTTACCTTCTACTAGTTTTCAGTATAACTGAAGTAACAGAATGTCAATACTCCATGGAGGGGTGTTCCTCTTGCTAAGGCTCCCTCCTCTGGGCTAGGCCTTCTACACCATGGCTGTCCTGCTGTGGCTGGAGCTGGAATTTGGATTGACCTCTGTGTGTCTTCCTAGCACACAATAGGTGTCCAATTAGCATGGGCAGAATCAAGCTCCTCCCTCTCACCATTTATTTCTCCATTTGTCCCTTGTTGGGAATGGAGAGTCCTGCCACTGAGTTCAGCCCAGGGTTGAAGTTCAAATCTCAGCTGATACTTGGTGGATGTTGACTTTTTTGAGAAGAACTTGGGAGAATAAAACATTATAAAGGCGCTGGCCAGGCACGGTGTCTCATGCCTGTATTCCTGGCATATTGATTGGCTGAGGAGATAGAATTGCTTGAGGCCAGGAATTTGATACCAGCCTTGTCAACATAGTGAGACCCCATTTATACAAAAAACTTGAAGCATTAAAAACATTTAGCCTGGTGTGATAGTTCCAAACTGTTGTCTCAGCTATGCTGGACATTGAGGCAGAGGATCACTTGAGCCAGGAGTTCTAGGCTACAGGGAGCTATGATCGTGCTGCTGCACTCCAACCAGGGCAACTATGCAAGATGTTTCAAAAATAAAATCTTTTATTATTCTTCACCCCTATAGTCTCTCCAGAACTTGTGCACTATGTAGCAGAAAGAATCAAACTCCCCAAGAGTTTGGTTCTTGCTTATGATTTGGTTTTCTGCTGCTTGGCTGCCCCCTCATTTCCCCATTTTGTATAAATAAGAACCCCCAGGTGAAGTGGAGTTTCTCCCCAGCAGAGGGTCTCACCAAGGCCCCAGGACTGGCACTTTAGGTGGAGGCTTGCCTTTCAACCTCTGAATAATAATTGATACTAAAATTGAGAAGTTTTCCAGACACCAGCTTCCTGAAAGGAGCACCCAGTCGAGACAAGATGAGGTCAGTAGCGAAGGTGACCCAGGCTGAGTGGGCCGTACATTCCTCTACTTTTCCCAAACTTCCCTCTGACATCCTACAAACTTTCTGTCTTCCCAGGACTTTCTTGCCAGGGAGTCTAATGAAGTAAAAGCTTTAAAATTGCTTTGATTTTAAAAATAATTTTATTGGTTCTTAAAATGTACTGTTAAATATTACTGTTTTTCTTCCCCCAGGGGCTACGTGAACATAAGCTCGGTTTTCACACTAGCAGCATTTAGAAATGTCTCTTCTGGAGGAACACTGATGCTCTCAATCACACGTGGTAATTCTCTCCTCCAGGCACAAAATGCAGTCTCAGCATCTCTGTATCAGGAGTCACTGTCTAAGTCTCTCCAGAGAAATAAGCTACCCAGGCCATCCAGCTGCTGGTGAGTTGCTTTGTGGTCATGAACTGGGTAGATTTCCTCATCTCATGCTCATTGGCCACATTCAGGATTAATGATTCAATGCTTTTGTTGTTCCAGAAGCTGTGGTCAGTGGCTATGCAGGAGTCAGTCTTTCAGTGCTGATCTTTGCTGAGAAAATAATAGTATTGTTCAAACAGTATATAGGATTTGCACTCAATATTTAATAATTTAGTGACAAAAATCTCTTAAATATACATTATACTGATATAAAATAAGTTACTCATCTATTATCAAATTTACTCTTTTATTTAATATAACTCTTGGGATAACATTTTCTTTTATGCTTCCATAAATATGCTTCACATGGATATATCACATATTGTGTATAATTTCACACAGTGTTAATATAGTTTCCATCTATTTAGATGTTTGCACATTTATTTTATCTCAATGTTTGTTCTCAGGAAGAGTGTTTTTCTTTATAAACTAAATTTTCAGCAAATTTTAAATGCATTTCACTGACGTAATTATACTTACATTGTATTTGTGTATTAAGTTACATTTTGTCCTTAAACCTGAAAATAACTTTTCAAATATATGTAATTTTAAATTTACATGTTTTTCCCTCAGAACTTTGAAAACCATAACCTATTGGATTCTTGATCTTATTCACATATTGAGAAATATGTTTCTTTTCATTGCTTTATAATTAATTTGAATTTTATCTTAGATAGCTTTACGTGATTTTCTCTATTATGGTATTATGCTTTTAACTATTGTTTTTCTTTTGATCAGAATGCCTTTAAGCTATTATAATTAATTATTTTAATAATTATATATTTTTATTCCCTATTTGACATTCACTCCATTTTATTTATTCGAACTTGCACTTAAACAACATGACTTATTTTAGATTTTTATGTATTTTAATTTTTCATATTGTTTATTTGTTTTATCCCTATTGGGACTTCTAAATATTCACTTCATCATATCTTCTAATTCATAATTTCTTTTTCAATTATGTAATTTTTCTATGCATTCTATCCTTTAAATTTAAAATTTTTACCTAATTATTTTGATAATATAACTTATTTTGATCTTACTTTTAAACTTTTCCTCTAATATATTTAAACATTATAACTACTTATATTATTTCTACAGTATATATACAATTTTGGGATTTTTTAAGATGTAATGGTACAGCTGTGTTTTTCTTATAATTTTGTTTCTTAATAACTTTGATCTTGATGACTTTTACTTTGTATATTTTAAAAAGAATAGTAGACTTCATTTTATTATAAATGACTGACCTCAATTGATGGGGCCATTGAAGATTCTGGGTCGAGGTATTTTATTCCAGTGAAAAGTTATCTGTAATGTTAATAATGCACCCTTTACAGACACCTGAAAATGATTAAGTCTATATATTTACCTAAATTGTCCTGAGTAAAACACATAGTGTACATATAAACCAGAAACTCATATGATGATTGGTGTTAATTTCCAAATCAACCAAAGAGGAGAAATACCACCTCCACTAACTAACCTATTTTTCTAAACTTTTGAAAATGTAAGGATTCTAGCTTTAGATAGCATAGTCAGATCCAAGTACTCCTGCATCTATGCTGCTGTGACATTATATTCACCAATCAGACACGTTAAATTCTAACAACCTGTGCTTCCATTATTAGCAATTCCCACAGGTAGCATCAACTTCCAGCCTAATTTTTATTCTACAGCTGTGCTTCTTCATTCTTTCCTGAAAAATTATTTGTGGAGGTACATGCCTTTGAAGTTTCTCAGCATATATTGTTATTTGAGGTTGAAAAGATAAGATTATCTAAATTTTTGCCAGAAACTCTCATACCCACATTATATCTTTGAAAGCATTGGTTATCACACTGCTGCTGACATGTGCATGTAGGAGAAGCATGTAAATGTCAGCGCTTTGCAGTCTCTAAGGGGCTGAAATAAACAATACCGGAAATCTTGGCCACTGAGGCTCACATGTAGATTTTCATTCCCAGTCCAGGCATCTAGATTCAGGGGCACCTTCCTGAGGGCCTTTTGGTTGAGGCCTTCTTCAGAAACTTTTGTTCAGATCCCTGTTTCTGGAGAAGAAATGGAACTTTGATAATAATTTTTATAGATTCCTATTAATATTCAATTCTCTTTAATCTTGCTCATACATTCTCCTCTACGCTCTCCTGCCCCCTTTTCCACAAAATTGCGGGCCTGTTTTTTATGAGGGTGCCACCTCGGCAGTGAGACAGTGCCCCATATTTGTGCTGATCCATCTGACCCTTTCCTGGTGCTTTTCCATGAGGAAAAAATGGAACAATGAGGAGTCGGTGCTTGATCTAATGTTGCCTGTTGTTTAACACAATCACAGAAAGGAAGACAAAAAGGCATAACTATTTCTTTGATGTGGGCCTCTTGCTTTAATTTAAAACTCTGATATTAAGCAGGTTAGCTCTTCCCAGCTCAGCTCAGCTCTTGAAATTTCATGGAAGAAATTCTGTTTTTATTGGTCTAAATTTTGTGTCTTTTATATAGAAAAAAGGTAATAAAATTGCATCTTATATTTAAAAATTGAATGCCTTCTGTTTTGCCATTTTACTGAAGAGAAAATTTGTGTAGCCTATTGGCATTATTAACAGTGAAGCTCCAAGTACTAATATTCAGAAAAAATAATGAATCAAAATCCAACTATTTCTCAGTACCATTTTCTTTTTTATAAACTTTCTATTTTATTGTCTGTAATTTAAAAACTTCTGTGGAAAAGAGTTTAAAATTTTCAAAGTTAATACAAAATTATTTTTAGAGTTTCTTTTTGCATAATGTTTGTCGTAAGTAGCTAATATTAATAAATTGTAATCATCAATTCTTATCTAAGCTGCACGTTAAAAAATATGTTAATATTTGCTGCTGCCTAAAATATAATACATATTTACATAATCTAATTTACTAAAAATAGTAATAAACACATATAAATAATCAACATACACAGGTCATTTTTTCTATTTCTTACTTATATTTTATGTTTCATATTTGTATCAGCACACTTTATGTCCTAGTATCATATATGGAAACGTGCCTATTTTGCATATTGTTATATTAAATAATAAGACATATGCTTAGCTTCCCCTAGGTTAAATTTTTTACATAATTGTTATTAACGTAAATAATCCAGAAATTAAAGTTTTTAAAAAAATTTCCAGTGCCCTCACTGTGCATAATATAATTCTATTTTTTAAAGTGTTAGTGCTGTTTGCATTATATAAAAGAATATTTTAGTGTATCAACTAACTACATACCTGAAAGCATGGCTTACTTTTTCATTAGTATATACTTTTGGTTGTACTCGGCTATTTTTCTAAAAGTGCTTGCAAATCAGTTCCAGGCCACAGGGCTTTGTCTTCAACAAAATAAGAATATCTCAGAGACCCACAGAAATAACTGTACCAAGTACTCCTATAAACAGGCTTCTGATAGAATGACTTACATAACTTTGAAACACTATCAGTGGACTAAGTTATTTCTCTAATTCTAGCAGAGAAGCATATGTGCTTACAAGATAGAGTAAAACAAGTATGAATAAAACAGGACTAAATGAACTGACAAAGAATGATAATAGGTTTTGTTTGGAATGTGAACATAAAACATTCCTGCTATTATTTCCTTGGTATCTAAACATGAGCTAATGGGAGCCGTTGTTACATGTTGTACACCCTTAAGAAGGTTTACAGTTTTTCGTCTCACCTATATTCGTAGTTGTCTTTATTTGTGGTTTAGAATCTCAGCTCTTTTCATAGCTGCCTGGCACTCATCTTGTATGAGCTCCTTTGTGTTTCTGAAGCCTCTGGCATACACCGAGGGTGTGGGTTTGCCTGGAATGTAGCATCAACCTGTAGAGAACAGGATTTTCCATGACCCAGTCATTGAATAAACTTGATATCTGCTTCTGCTGTTGAGAAAACATTATTTCTCCTTCAGGAATATCCACCCTCTTCATCAAGAACATCGTGTCATTCTTCAGGGTCACAGAATGCTCTACAGCCTACTTCCTGGTGTCCACCAAGGAGGAGATTAGTTGCATCTGAATTCAAGGAAGATTCGAGAGGGCTCACAGCTGCAGAATTCCAATCACTCTCAGTCTGACTGTGCTGATTTTAGAAAGACACATGGGGATCTGCCACAAGGAAGGCACTTTGCAGGGAGGCCTCAACCCCATGGCACACCCCTTCAGGAGGGCTCTTCTCCTTGTAACAGTCACTTAGCCACTTGTAGAAAGGCAACTCTTAGAAAATTTAAATGGGGACCAAAATACTAACCCTAACCAGTTTATTATCTCAAAGAATTGGAAAAACAAAGTTTTCGAATACTACGGGATTAGAAGAGTAAACAAGATATGCCTTTTCTTTGGAGCTACATATATGTATTAAAAATGGGATGTACAAAGAATTTTTTATCACATGGAGAAGTGCTTATGAGATGATATAACATTAAACAAATTAATGAAAGGCACACATTAAAAAGTATAACCAAACTTATACATTAGAGCTCAAAATTTAAAATGTGTAGAAAAATGATTGAGAGGAAATATGCCGAATTATAGGAATTGATGTGTTTCTTATAGGAAGCAGGATCCTGTGAGAAATTAAATTGCTTTATTGATTCTCTTGTAATTTTATAGTTTCCAAAAGTTCTACAGAGAGTGTAATGTAGGACCTTAGTCAGGAATAAACATCTCTTTAAATAAGCAGCAGAGAATTTCAAAGGAAGTGTGTGGTATGGGTTTATGTGTTTCTTTCAAGATCTAATATTTTCCACGTAGTGCTTCAGAAAAGATAAGGTAATTTCAACAACTTAACCCCATCATCAAGAGGGTGTTACTTAAGTACATTATGGGAGGTCATAGATAAACAACCAGTCAGCCTCTAAGCATCAGAAAATCTGTGATGTCCATTGGCCTGTGAGATGGTCTGCATTTCTTTGAAGGAAAAAAGCAGGTTTTAAAACACTAGAACCGAATCAAATCCAAATTTGAATAGAAAGATTAGAAAGGCTTATGCATGGGAAAAAGATTCAGGGTATTCAACGGTTAATTCTGACTATTTCTGAGTAATTTAAATTTACCTATAATTTAAAAAAAAAATTAAGGTCAGGTGTGTTGACTCAAACCTGTAATCCCAGCATTTTGGGAGGCCGAGGTGGGTGAATCACTTGAGACCAGGAGTTTGCGACCAGTATGGGCACCATGGCAAAACCTCATATCTACTAAAAACACAAAAAATAGCCAATTGGTGGTGTGTGCTTGTAGTCCCAGCTACTTGGGAGGCTGACGCATGAGAATCGCTTGAACCTAGGGGGTGGAGGTTGCAATAACCCAAGATCTCACCACTGCACTCCAGTCTGGGTGACAGAGCAAGACCTTGTTTCAAAAAAAATTTTTTTTGTATTTTAATTAGGAATCAAATAAGATAATTAAATGTAAACTTACACTTAATTTACTTTTTAAGCATTTTAAGAATTGGTATTCTAATTTTGTGTCGGTACATTTTAAGAATCAATAAAATTATTTTTAAAATCAAAGCAATTTTAAAGCTTTTACTTCATTAGACTCCCTGGCAAGAAAGCCCTGGGAAGATAGAAAGTTTGGAGGATGTCAGAGGGAAGTTTGGGAAAAGTAGAGGAATATATGGAGGGCAGAAGGAGTGAACATTAGGGAAACCCTCCCCTAGCTCAGTCTTCAGATACGCTGGTGGACTTCCCCACTCAGCCTGAGTCACCTTCGCTACTGACCTCATCTTGTCTTCTGACTGGATGCTCCTTTCAGGAAGCTGGTGTCTGGAAAACTTCTCAATTTTAGTATCAATTATTATTCAGAGGCTGAAAGGCAAGCCTCCACCTAAAGTGCCAGTCTTGGGGCCTTGGTGAGACCCTCTGCTGGGGAGAAACTCCACTTCACTGGGGGGTTCTTATTTTATACAAAATGGGGACATGACGGGGCAGCCAAGCAGCAGAAAACCAAATCATGAGCAAGAACCAAACTCTTGGGGAGTTTGATTCTTTCTGCTACATAGTGCACAAGTTCTGGAGAGACTATAGGGGTGAAGAATAATAAAAGATTTTATTTTTGAATCATCTTGCGTGGTTGCCTGTTTGGAGTGCAGTAGCGTGATCATAGTTCACCGCAGCCTAGAACTCCTGGCTCAAGTGATCCTCTGCCTCAATATCCAGCATAGCTGAGACAACAGTTTGGAACTATCACACCTGGCTAAATGTTTTTAATGCTTCAAGTTTTTTGTATAAATGGGGTCTCACTATGTTGACAAGGCTGGTATCAAATTCCTGGCCTCAAGCAATTCTATCTCCTCAGCCAATCAATATGCCAGGAATACAGGCATGAGACACCGTGCCTGGCCAGCGCCTTTATAATGTTTTATTCTCCCAAGTTCTTCTCAAAAAAGTCAACATCCACCAAGTATCAGCTGAGATTTGAACTTCAACCCTGGGCTGAACTCAGTGGCAGGACTCTCCATTCCCAACAAGGGACAAATGGAGAAATAAATGGTGAGAGGGAGGAGCTTGATTCTGCCCATGCTAATTGGACACCTATTGTGTGCTAGGAAGACACACAGAGGTCAATCCAAATTCCAGCTCCAGCCACAGCAGGACAGCCATGGTGTAGAAGGCCTAGCCCAGAGGAGGGAGCCTTAGCAAGCGGAACACCCCTCCATGGAGTATTGACACTCTGTTATTTCAGTTATACTGAAAACTAGTAGAAGGTATGAGATATTGCACTCAACCCTTATGAGCAAGAAAATCCATTCAATCTTCTTTAATTTGGTTAAAACTAACCTTTACTAAAAGGCAGCAAACAATAATGCTTGTCTGTGAGAATTTAAAAACATCATAGCAAACCACTCCGTTCTCAGTTTAAGAGGAAAGGCAAAACGCTTGTGTGGGAGAATAAGAAAAAAAATATTTATGTAATACTTTGAGTTTCTATTGCTCCTAACCACCATTGCTACATAATTATTCCAAATTATAGCTCTTATTTACCCATCCTACTGTTAAAAAGTACCTCACTGATTCTGTAACCCCCAACTAATCCACCCTATAGTCCCTAGATGACCAGAGATGCCTATTATCCTCTGCTTTTTACTGTCACTCTCCCCAGTCCAGCAAACTCATTCCTCTTCCTGCATAAGCCTCCTGTGTTTCTGCCTTTTTTTATCTGCACCCTCTGCTGAGATTCTTTTGTCTTCACCCATCCCAAAGCCATCCATACTTCCACTGCTTGACTAGGGGTAATTATCTCATTCACCCAGCCTAATTTTTAATCTTACCTTCCTGCTCCCACCCTCTCTTCACTCTGAACAAGATTTTACTAGGTTGTTGTTATGTTCTGGGGTTCGGAGAATCTGACTAGTGTGAGTTTCCCAAGGTAAAGGTAATGCCTTAATAATTTTCACTTTAATTGCTCTTTGCGCAGTGTTTTGCACAAAATTTAACACAATAATTGCTCCCAGAGTAAATGTATAAATCTTTGCAATGTCTGATTTGACTCCCTTAGAGTTTGGATCTTTTCCCCTACAACCATCCAGAGTCCTGTCTAACCAAAGTGAAAATGCGGAACTCCCTCTTTCTGGTTGGCATCACTGCTGAGAACGGAAATAAATGCTGTCTATGCCAACTCCCTAGAACAAGTATAGGTTTCATCTAGACTAGTTTTCAAAATGAGGAAACAGGATGCAGACAAATACTTTATTCCCACTTTTTGGCCTGGGGTTTATTAACAAGGTGAAATTATACAGAAGAATAAATTAGTTTAGCTGAAAAAAGAAAAAATGTATAGTTAATGGAGGGAAAAAATTGAAAATGCAATAAAACCAGAAGATGTTCAGGAATTCAAAGTTGTTGATGCATAGAAATACTACTGGTTTTTGTACATTGGTTTTGTGTCCTAAAACTTTACTTGCTTATCCATTTCAGGAGGCTTTTCAAGTTTTCTCCAAAAGGAGTTTTGGAAAGACTTTAGCATTGTCTACGTAGTGACTCATAATGCAAATGGAGAAAGAGAATTCATTTTTTTTTTCTATTTGTATGCCTTTTTCTTTTCTATTGGCTGATTGCTGTGGATAGGACTTTTAAATCTAATTAAATTGTATTTGTTAGATTTTTGTATATTTTAATATGTCTCCAATTAATTTTATATCTGTATAATGTCCCCTTATAAAGGAATATGTAGCTGTTTTATTTAGTTATTTTATTACTGATGCACATTTGAGTTTTTTTCAGTTTGGAAAAGTACCAAATAATGCTGCTTAGAGCATTTGTCTGCATTGGAAAATATGCTGGCATTTCTATTGGGTGTATATACCTAGTAGCAGAGTTGCTGGGTCCTAGAGTGTGCTTATGTACATCGTGTATGTAAGGAGTTACTACTCAAGAGGTTTTGAATGCCGTTATAACAGTTTGCACACAGAATGGTATAAGAAAGTTCCAGTTGCTTGACATCATCACTAGTACTTAATTTTGTCAGTTTTCAAAAATGTGAATGATTGCATAGTGGCATTCAATTGTAGTTTTCATATGCATTGTTCTGATGCATAAGGATGTGGATATGTTCATCTACTTGTTGGCCCTTCGGTTCTGTATGTGGAACTCCTAGTCACATGTTTGTCAATTTTGTTCAATGTATTGCATCTTTGTTTATTAATTGATGGGATTTAGTTAAATAAACTAGATAAAAGGCTTTTGCCACATCAATATATGACAAATGTTGATTTCCACTTTGTTCTTGCCTTTCAGCTCTCCTGAAGGTTTTTTTTATGAAGAGAAGGTTTTAATTGTAATAAAGTCCAATTTGTCATATTTTTGTCTTGAGAATTAATGCATTTTGTGTCCCAAGAAATCTGGGCCTGTGCCAGTCATGGACATATTTATCTATGTTATCTACTAGAAATATTGCTTTCAGCTTTGACCTTAAAATTTAAAATCCACTTTTCATTGGAATTTGTTAATAATATAAGATAGGAGTGTTTTTTCTCACATAAATAACTGGTTGACTCAAGGCTATTTACCGAGAAGACTGTCTTCACTCCTCTTCTGTGCCTGTTTTGTAATATACAAAATGTCCAAATGTGTGAGTCTGAGTTGGACTCTCGAGTTTTTCTAGTTTTCTTTGTGCCTATTTTTGCATTACTACCATAGATAGCTTTTATTACTATAGCTTTAATCTAAGTCTGAATATATGTCATTTTAAGCTCACAAACTTTGTTATTCTTCAGGACAGTTTTTACATTTCTTCGATTTTTTATATGTATTTAAATTTTTTAAACTGATTAGACAGTTTCCACAAGATTTCTGCCAAAATATTGTATTGTGAAAATGGAAATCTATGAATCAATTTAGGGAGAAGTTACATAGAAACAAAGCAAAACAAAACACTAATAACATCCAAAACAAACTTAAAGAGAACACCACAATAAGAAAAGAAATTCCCAAATTGGAATAAATATTTACAACTCATGAAATTACAAATGGGCTCGCATTTCCATAAAGGGCACTCTCTCTCTCCCTCTCTCTCTCTCTTTTTTTTTTTTCCACAGAGACTCACTCTGTCACCCTGTCTTGAGTGCAGACGTGCAATCTCGGCTCACTGCAACCTCTGCCTCCCAAGTTTCAGCAATTCTTCTGTCTCAGCCTCCTGAGTAGCTGGGGCTACAGGCTTGTGCCACCATTCCCGGCTAATTTTTTGTAATTTTAGTAGAGACGGGGTTTCACCAGGTTGGCCAGGCTGGTTTTTAACTCCTGACCTCAAATGATCCGCCCGCCTCAGCCTCTCAAGTGTTGAAATTACAGATGTGAGGCACCACAGCTGACCTGTAAAGACCTCTTAAAAATTAGTTAAAAAACAAACAAAACAGAAAAAGAGAAAGAAGAAACAGCCACTCAGTTAAAAGAAAAAGATAAAGAAAAAGAAAAAGAAAAGAAAAGAAAAAAAGGCAAAAGACATTATTTTACAGGTCTAGTGCCCTGTGCCCCTCACTGTAATGGGGGTGGATATGGGCTTCACAGGACATGAAATTCATCAAACAGTTGCTGGTTGAAGGAGGGAAAATCTTGCGGGACCAGCCTCCAGAACAGAGCCTGTGGTGCACTGTTTCATCCCGTAGCCCTGGTAAGAAAACCTGGCTGTGCCGTGCTTTATGTTCACCTGCATTTGCCCTGTTCAGAGGCCTGAGCTACCGTGGACACAAAAGTCTGCTCAAACTCTCCCCATCCCAATATTCTATCTGGTATTGAGCATGACACCCTGTCTTCACTGAGCATGTGTTTATGCAGTTTTGTGACCACCTATCCATTTTACAACAGGAAGACTGAGGCCCCCAAAAAAGGCAAAGACTGGTCCATATCCCAGAAATTGGGAAGAGCACAGAGTATTAGGGAGGGATCCAGCTTCCAAGGCCTTGCATGCACCCCACCCATCAGGTTTGCTTTGGAAATGAGTGCTCTTAAGTCCTGGAAAACCCTGTGGTCTACTTTCTACCTGGGCTTTCTACCCTTCCTTATTCTCACATAGGTGTGCAGCCATGAACACACAAACACACCACACACACACACACACACACACAGGCTTCTAAGGTGGAGATCATGGAGGTGAGGTTAGAGAAGAGGAAACCAGAGAAGTGACAAAACGGGAAGAAATAGAAGAGGCAGCTTTGCCATGAGGCAGAGGCATCCACTCCCCCAGCTACATGACCAGGAGCTGACAGCATGTGATGAAGGATCCTCCAGGTTCCCTGGGTTCTTCCAGGCCTGGGGATCTTCCCAGCTGTTTCAAGAGGACAGGACAGGGGTTGTGACTCCCACCTCTATGGGCACCTGGAACTAAAATGAGCTATGCCCTCCCCCAACCACCCCATGTGATATAAAGTGAGGCTACGGGAAAGAAAACCTTCGTTTTCTCTCTCATAAATAGGGGTACTCAAAAGGAATAATACCAAGAATTCTAGATACTCATAAGTGTCTGCTCCCCTTGGCTCTTCATTGGTAACTCACTGTGCTTTGAGACTCTGGGAAGAGGCTTTTCAGGTTCTAGAGGTCCTTCAGAGAAGAGAGAGGCCTAGAGATGTGGGCAGATGAGGACTTGGAATAAAGCAGAATGTGACAATGCACTGGGCTCTGGAGTGTGGGGCCCAGAAAAAATACTAGATTTTTGGGCTGTCCTTGAGGTCCTCATTCAGAAGTGGAAGAAAATAATGTCTCTGAATGCTGTTAAAGTGTTTAATGAGTGCACAGCACACTCAAAGAGGCTGAGGAAAATAGGAATCAAGGGAGGTTTCCGAGGTTACTTTTATGGCCCTTGGAGTCTTCAGATACTGCTCCTTTTCCCAGGGGTCCTTGAATAGCCACTGCCTTGAGAATTCCCCAATGCAGGTGCCTGTTTTGTGATGCTTCCACCTGGGACTTCAGGGCTAGTGGAGGCCTCTAGGTGGCGGCAGACCCCGTGTTTCTTATGCCCGCTGGGCTTTACTGGAGCAGCTGGAGCCGGGGGAGAGACAGGCTGAGGTCCTGCAGCTCCTGTTATCATTCATGATCTCCACATTATTGGGTGGCCAAAAGTGGGAAGAAGGGCTTTGTGATTTTCCATGTTATTTTACTCAGCGACTCTTCCCCTAGCACTCACCATGTGGCAGCTACCTTGGTAGGTTCACCTTATGGTACCAAAAATGATTATGTTATCCCTGCCTCCCCGCGGGGAGCCCACAGTCTGAGGACGGCAGGACAAAAACACTAAAGCAAGTACATGTGAAAGAAAAGAGCATTTTATAATGGAAATAAAGTAGAATGTTGGGAGGGAGGGCTGGGGAGAGGTTGCCTGGAGGGGACATGAATGCCTCCCTGAGGTGACATTATGTTGTGACCAGAATGACAACAGAGAGCCAGTCCTGCGCAGGTGTGCAAAGTGTGTCAGGGAAAAGCCACTCTTTGTGAAGAGACTCACAGGCACAGGTGAGTTCAGCAGAGGAGGTTATAACGGGACAATTGTGGCGGCAGGCAGCCTGAGAAAGAAAGGAAAAGAGGGGAGGGAGGATCCTGGGGACTGAAAGAGGAGATTAGTCATTTGCCCCTCTCTGACAAAATTTCCCTGAATTTTAGCACATGTTGACAACAAATACTATCTCACAACTTTTGTGAACCAGAATCTCGATATAGCTTAGTTGGGTGCCTCTGCCTCAAGGTCTCTTACGAGGCTGGGGCTGTGATTTCAACTGAAGCTGGATTTGAGGAGAGATCAGCCTTCTATCTGCCTCATGGAAACTGGCACGATTCAGTGTGAACTGAGAGCCCGAGTTCCTTCCTCTCGATTGGCCTGGGCATCTCCTCAGTTCTCTATCATGTGGGTCTGTGCCTAGAGCATCTTAGGACACTGCAGATCACTTCCTCATCTTGAGGATTACAATACAGAGATGAAAAATGAAAGAGATAGACAGACATATGCAGAGAAAAAGAGAGAAAGGGAGACAGAGAGATTGAGAGAGGACACACAGGACAGAGCAAGTAAGAGGAAAATAATAGCTGTTTTAGAAATATAACTTTGGAAGTTGCAGAAGACTATGTGATTCCCCACCATGTTCACATACCAGAACCTTAATCCCCAGTGTAATGGCCTTAGCAGGTCAGAGGTAATTAAGTCCGAAGCATGAGGACCTCATGATAGCGATTACGGGCTTTGTAAAAGAAACCGCAGAAGGCTGTCTCTCCCTCTCTCTGCTAAATGAGAAAACAACCTGAAGTCTGGAGTTTGAAACTCAGAAGAGAGTCCTTACCAGACCCCAACCATGCTGGAAGCCCAATCTCAAATTTCTGGCCTCTAGAACTAATGTTTTTTATTTATAAGTTGCCTAGTCTATGTTTTTTGGTATAGAAGTCTGAACTAAGTCAGAAGTGATAACCTATCACATTTGTTGTTTTCCCTTTGACAGAAACTAGAACCAGGTCCCCAAAGAGTTCATCCAATGACTAACAGAAATTCTTCAGTTTGCAGAATGACAGATAAGAAAAGATACAACTTGTTGAAAGAATGAAATTTATTCCACTTATGAGACTTCTAAAAAGTGGCTAAAATTGGTCGGAACCAATATGGTCAACTGGAGTCTGTGTGAAATAAGCTCACTGATGTCAGAGCCCAAATTTCCATCACATGTTTTGTACTAACTGTCCCCAAATTTGCACATGTGATCTGTGTGTAGCAAGAAAAAATAGTTGTTCATGCCCAGTGATTTTCCATACATTTTTCCTTTAAGCAATTCCGTACTAATCCAGAACCTACCTCCTAAACCTTTCTGAGAATATTACTACCTTTAAGTAAGCACAGGGAAACAGACTTGAGCTGGAATCCCATCTCTCTGTTAGAAACCCGGTGTTATAGTACCTGCTTCTGAGGCACTGAGAGGTGAGCTGCGTTTTAAAATAACAGAGTCACTCACAACTTAGTGTTGTTGTGAGACTTTGTTGGGGGTGCCCACCACATAGGCTGAGATGAGGCATATACATATGATTCTAAATATAATGCACAGCACTGGAATATTTAATGCCAGAAGACAGTATCTGATTTTCTTTTAATTTCAACCTCTTCTGCTGTGGAATGGAAAATTAAGGCCATATATATAAAATATATATCTTTTATGTATAAAGATACATAAACTATGTATCTTTTATATATAAAGATATATATGTATAAGTTTATATATTATATATAGTTATATATAATTGATATATATATAGTTATATATAATATATAAATAAAAATATTTATATACATTATATATATATATATTTTTTGAGACACAGTCTCGCTCTGTCACCCAGGCTGGAGTGCAGTGGCAGGATCATGGCTCAATGTAATCTCTGCTTCCTGGGCTCAAGTGATTCTTACACCTCAGCCTCCTGAGTGGCTGGGATTACAGGCATGCATCAACACATCTGGCTAATTTTTGGATTTTTCGTAGAGAAGGGTTTTTGCCATGCTGGCCATGGCTGGTTTCAAACCCCTGGCCTTAAGTGTTCCAGCTGCCTTGGTCTACCAATCTGCTAAGATTACAGCAAGAGCCACTGCATCCAACCGATTTTGATTCATTCTATCTCATATATCACCAAAGACTGTTTTTGGAAGTTGATGTTAGCATAATCCCATTATGCATACTTCAGGGCTGGGGAGACCTGAAGCACACAGTCATTTTCATATGGTCACAGAAATGAAAAGGAAAAGAAGATTTTAACCCAACTCTGTTCTCTCAAACCTGGGGCCCTGGCTGCATTTAGAACTTTTTGGGAATTAAGGGACATAATTGTGTTTGCATAACTGTTTACAGGTAAAGAGTTGACATGGGAGAGGAGGGTGAGCAATCAGCAGCCCAGCAGGGACTTTGCGTAGATTTATGGAGGAAAAGGGCTCAGGGGATAAAACCTTGAAGAAGTTAACAGACTTCCCTTGTGACAAAACCTAACAGAATTTAGAACTTTGGGAACCAGAAACCCACATTCTAGAGACAGCCCTGTATCTAGCTAACTTCTTGGGAGATGCTTGAGAGGGCACTGTGTTCTCATTGTGTTATATTCCCAAGCTGTTGCCTGAGAAAGGCTCAAAGTGAGAGCCTTTTCTGACAGTATACATACTGGCTCAGCCTACATCCTTGATACCACTGGCCATTCGACAAGAGGCACCCACAGGTAACACAGTTTAGCCCAGGGCAGGTCCGTCCATGCCAGGCCACCTGTGTCATCTAATCTGGGCAACCCGACCCTGCCTACCATTACCCTGTGTTGCAAGGGGAGCAGGAAAGGAGGGGGCTTTTCCTCACAGGGGCAGGTTTTAAGACACAGGAACCCTGGTGGGTCTGTCATGTTCATACCCAGGTCACGGTTGGTGGAATAAAAAGTTGTGAGTTGCGGACCAAGTACGTCTACTCAGATGTGAATCCCAAGGCCTTAAGCTGTCCTCGGGTTTCCTCATTGGCTGGGGGTCTATGCAGATACTCCTATGTTCCTGATCTAGGAAACAGAATTTCTAATGCAGATGTCACCTGGTGGTAAAAACAAAGAAGACAATTAACTTTTTTCGCTGCTGGGAACACTCTTTGTAGAGCTGCATTAAAATCAGTGAGCAGATATTTGATGGGTTCAAGTCCCCCATCTCCTTGGACAACTGGCAGGTTCACCACACCCCCCAAGCATGGCATACAATGAGTTATGTTGAGAGCAGGCACATGGGGTTCTCTACAGAGAGGGACCTGACAAAACCAGGATGGGTCCAGGATCCAGACCCAAATATGGAATTTCTCTGCGCTTTCTCCTAGGGGATTTCCATGAGTGACCCTCAGATCTACCCCCCAAAAATCTAGCCTTAACTGGTCCCAGTGGCAACTTGGTTAAGTGTAAAGTCCCTTTTTACATTCTTGTAGAAATATCAGAGAAGGCCTTTGTGTTGTTTTTACTTTACACTAGGCTGCATTTATTCATGTTACTACAGTTTGTATAGTTTTAATTATTCCCCTCTGATATCATCTGTAGCAAGCAGGTTCATGGTACTGCCAGACTTTCTCCAAGACTTGAAAGCCACCACTATCACTAATACTCTACAAAAATAGGGAAGAGTTTACATGAAAAAGGGGTTATATTGTTTCCTACATTTGTCTGCAATGTGTCATCTAAGAGAACTCATCCCAGTAGCCCATCAGGGCAGAAGTGGTGCCCTCACATCTCTTTGTAATGTTCTATAATGGGGGTCACTTCCCAGAGTGGTTTAGCCTTTCAATGGCTATTATTTCTGATCAAAATGGAATAAAACTAGAAATGAATAACAGAAGAAAACAAAAATAGCAACATATATATGGAAATTAAACAACTCACTTTTGAGCATGCTCATGTTTAAGGGTTGTAAGACTTAATATTATGAATAATGCTTATGATGTCTAAAGCGAGTTACAGATTCAATGCAATCCCTTTTAAATTAAGAACTTTTTTTTTGAAATAGAAAAAGGAACCAACAAATTATATGGAATCTCAAGCGACCATAAAGAGCCCCAAAATGTTTAAAAAAAACAATGTTAGTGACCTCACCTTTTCTGATTTCAAAGCACATTACAAAGCAACAGCAATGAAAACAGTTTGTTTCTGGCATAAACACAGACAATTTTTCCAATAAAACAGAAGGTAGCACACATGTAAACCTCACACATATGAGCAAATAGCTATTTGCATACCAATATTCATTGCAGCATTATTCAGAAATGCCAATAGGTGAAAGCAACACAAATTTTCCTCATAGAATGAATAAATAAATAAAATTTGTAATATAAAACTAATGGAATATTACTTAGCTTTTAAAGGCAGAAAATCTTGTACCATCCACAATAAAGAGGAATCTTGAGAACATAATGCTAAGTAAAATTAGTCACAATAAAACAGATACTCTATGATTCTACTTATATGTAATATCTAAAGTATTGAAACTTAGAACCAGAAAATAGAATGATTTTTATCAGGAGCCAGGTGGTAAGGACAATGGGTAGTTGTCATTTCATGTGTACTGAGTTTTAGTTTTGCAAAAGAAAAAATTTTACAAATATGTTGCTTAACAATGTAAATACACTTAACATGACTGAACTGTATAAGAAAAAATATTAAAGATTCTAAATTTTATGTTATGTATTTTTACCACAATCGAAATTAAAAATGACACCCAAGGGCCAAGAGTGATCACTCATGCCTGTAATCGCAGCACTCTGGGAGGCTGAGGCATGCAGGTTACTTGAGGCCATAAGTTCAAGACCAGCCTGGCCAACATGGTGAAACCCCAGCTTCATGAAAAATACAAAAATTAGCCAGGCGCGGTGGTGCAGAACTTTAATGCCAGCTACTCAAGAGGCAGCAGCTGGAGAATTGCTTTAACCTGGGAGGTGGAGGTTGCAGTGATCCAAGATTGTGCCACTGCACTTTGGCAACAGGGTGAGAGTCTGTCAAAAGAAAAAAAAAAAAAAAAAAAGACACCCGAAGGGAGAGAGTTACAAAGTTTCTGAAAAATTATCTTCAAATCACATAAATCTTTCCTTCACACTAAGATAATATAAACAATAGATGTTGAAATTAAGACAATTTCCATGATTACTCACTTAGACAGAATAAATTATTGGCCATCAAATAAGAAGAAAATATAAAAGTCATAAACAAAATAGGGGCAATATTTATACAGGCAAACAAACAGTTAAATCATTGTATTAACAAAAGACATAGGGATGGTTCATATTTGACTTCTGCCCCACACTGTCTTAATGCATACAGAGTTGAATATTGTTATACAATATTATATTATACAAATTAAAACTTAAAACAATAAACTAATATAAGGTGCCCTACCCTAAAACATGAAACACAGAAATGTAAAATTGCAAAACAAAGTTAAAATAAACATTAACCCCCAAATTCTTATTTGAATAATGAAATTCAAAATCATAATAAATAGGTAGAAAGTAAAAACACAATTAACTGATGTGAGACAGCCTACTCTAAAAAATACAGAAACATAAAATTATAAAACATAATTAAGAGAAACTTTAATCCATAAAATCCTGAATAAACATAGTGTCCAAATGAAAAAGAATCCCAGGTAACTACAATTTTTAACTCTTCCTGTGAATCTATGAAAAGTATGAATTTTGAATTATTTGGATACAGTTAGGGCAACAACATTTCAGAGAAAACACATTATAATTAATACAAAGAGCTGTGATGAGAAAGTTTTAAGGAATAAGCATTTAAGTAATACTAGAGAAAGTTTTAAATTATGCTACTGATGCATTGCTGCTTTTCTTACACAAAACGATAAGGCTGTAATCTAGCTTTTAATTGAAAAGTCTTACATTTCTAAATATGGTAACAATATAAATATTGTAAATACAGTATAAAACATTGACATATAAAATAAAAATTGGAAATAAATTGTACTATTAGTCAAATAAAAGTTGGGAAAACTGGAAGAAGATGCTAATAGTAACATTGTGCCTAGAGTCAATTAAACATACAAGCCAAATATTTTAATAAATTATAAATTATATAATTTATACATAATATATACATTTGAGCATGCTATTTTACAACTTCTGAAAGGAAATTACAGACAAATGTGACACATGATAATTCAGAAAGTGAAAACACAGTCATAGTAATCTTCATATTAAAGAAGACAGAATCATAAAATACTAAGTGAGAAATAAAGTAATAATTGTGAATTCAATATATGTTGAACAATATTCTAATTTCCCTTACGGAAAAAGTTTTTGTAAGAAATCAGTAAAATGAGTACATACAATAAACCATCCTACAGTAGAGGCTGTTGGCATATAGAGTTTACATTTCTATGATTAGGTCCTACTAAGAAAAAGGAAATTTTAAAATAAAATACTTAGATTTTCCTATTTAATAAGATAATTTTTGCCTATAAAGTTTTTCAGTCTAATTTTCTTGTAGAATTAGGTTTTAGCCATCGTAAAACTTGACATTATGAAGCAGAAAACAGGTGTCATCTGTCTCTGGTGTTCCTGGAATTTCTAACCCAAATGCCAATTCCTCCACAACTCCCTTCACACACTTCTGAATTGAAGCACAACAGATTTATTAAAATTGGCATAACAGCGGTCTCCAGAAATGTGCAGAGATTTTCCCAGATCCCCAAAATCAATGACAAACTATTCAGATCATTTAGGTTCTCACAAGATTCTGGGAGGACTTTGGCTTTCAGTGTGAACGCACTGGAAGATTCTAAGAGAGAGGGAGAGAGAGAGAATGTGTGTGTGTTGAAATCAGAACCCCACCTTATGTGTTTATTGTGGAAATTGAAAATGAAAGCCTAAAGTTGAAAATTAAAATCACACATGATAGCACGTTGCAAACTGTTTTCTGTGCTAGATGGGTCGTTCTAGGGTGTAGGACCCTGGAAACACCGTTTTCCCCTCCTTCCGGAAAGAGCTACTCACACTGCTCAAAGCCTGCATCCACATGTACCATGTCGAAGACCAGCTCAAGAGCCTGGACCCATATGCCACCTTCAGCAGGGTTGACTGCAGCTTCTTGTTCTTCCTGAGCATCTTCTCCAATGGTGACCTGAGAGTTGCGGGAGGCATTGGGGCCAGGATTGAACAGAGGAAAAAGGAGCACGGAGGCCAGGTGCTGAGGACCAGGCCATCTCACCTGGAGAGTTCTGGCCCTGAGACATCCAGACCAGCATGATGTTTAGGTGCAGACAGCTGGCCCTGGGTGGCCCTGTGCTGATCACCGGCCTCAGCCCCTCAAACAGTGGGAAATGGAAGAATGGCTTGGAAATGGGCCCTGTCGACAGTGTGTCACCTGAGCACATTCTCCCAGGGGCCCAAGAGGGGCCATCGTGTCTCTAGAACCAGAACTGGAAGGTGAAACTGCCAGGGGGAACAAGGAAGAGGGTCCTCAGTTGGGTGGAGGGTCTCACAGCAAGACGCCTGGCTTAATCAAGCTTGGCCATTCCTGAAGCACGTTCAGTGACTAAAAGTGCCTACCATGAGCAGCTGGAACACACTCTCTGAGAGCTGCAAGATGCATGGGGACCTCAAGTACCTGTTTGTAATTACAGCCAAGGACCAGCAGGCAGCATTGCTGCATCCACATGGGCTTTTGCTGGAACCAGTAAGTCTCTGCCAGCCCCTCCCAGGCTCCTGGGATGCCACTTGTTCTGGGTCTGTGGACAGATAACCAGGACACTTACTCAGTGAAGCCCATCGCTCAACCCCAGCCCCACCATACCCTGTCTCCTATGCCATTCCTCATCCCAGAAGGAAAGGCAATGCCTTTGTCCCACAGCCCCTGCCTTGTGTCATCTCATGTGGGGGTATGGAATGAACCCGTCAGCCTAAACTCCAGTCCTTCTGCCTGAGGAATCTGTCCCCGCTGTCTTAGTCGCCCTCTAGGGAGCTGTCAGTGGGATAAAGAGCAGCCCTGGAAGAGAGGCCCACCTTCTTCTGTTTGACTTCAGGACAGCCTTTCAGGGCAAGAACCCAGAGCAGATGGAGGCCTCACAGAAGGCTGTGGCAGGGCTCTCGGCTTGGTGGGCTAAGCATCTCCCTCTCTGATGACTGCCATGGGGCCCACAACCACTCATTCAAGAGGGTCACCACCACATTGCAGGTGTTCAGCTGGACGGTTCCCCAGGCAGAGCCTGCCATGGACTGCATACACACAGAGGATGCACACCTTGAAGTTGGACAATGAGGAGAACATTCCTGAAGAGGTGCATGCAGCCTGGCCCTGCCCTCACTGGGAACCCCCTTCCATCTGGGTACTAGACAGAATTCTGTGCACTTTTCTGGAGGCTCCATGCTGGTCTGTTCATTTGGAAGTTTGATGCTGTCCGTGAGGAAGTAACAAAAGAGATATCTCAGAGCAGGTTGTGGGGCACAGGCTGAGAGATTTTCTCCCTCCCTAGTCCCTCTGCAGACACGGGGCTGGAACAAGAACCTGTGGATAATGAGGGAACTTCTCTTCGAGAACCGGCCTGAGCAGCTGCTTCAAGAAAGAGCCACATTAAAGTGCCTATAGCCCCTGATGAGGGAATGGTAGCCTCAGGCCCGCCTGCCATGTGTGAGCAGGTTTTCTTGCTATCAGGATGAAAGCAAAGAAAGCTGGAATGAGCCCAGCCCTCTCAGGCACCTTGAAGACTGTTGGGGTTCCTTCCAGCCCTTCTAGCCTTATGCTTTTTGGCAGGCCACTCAGGCACCTTTTTCCAGCCTCTGAGACTTCCATGCTCTGGAAGGAGAGGGTCCCACTTTTCACTAGGCTATGGGGCCAGGCCCATCCAGCTCCCGGCTTCCACTAACAACCATGGGGCTCTCACCTGGGCACACACTGCCCAAACATGGACCTTCTAAGGCAGAAGATCATGTGTCTTGCAGTTCCAGCTTTCTAGGGCTTAAAAGTTATCAGTGCTGTTATTAAGATAGGGAAGTGAGAAAGGAAAACTTGCTGTAAAAGTTTCCCATAATCTTACCACGGAGATCATCAGCACAGATGACAGCACAGGTAGGGCTGCTGGGGAGGCTGAAGGAGAGTGTCCAGCCTGTTCTGCCAGCTGGTCCTTGCCAGGGGTGTCTCGTGACCCAGTCCCTTAGAGAAGCATGCAGATATCTCAGCAAGTATCTGGAAGGTGCAGATCAGGGCAACCCAGCACTACTGATGGTGGAGTGGGCCTACCTCCCATCAAGCTGTGTCTCCACAGCTGACCCTTGTAACCAGGAGGTGTTTTACAACATGTGCAAGGCAGTGAGCTCCATCAGCTGTGTGGCATTCAACACTCACTTCAACTCGGACATCTCACCAGAAAGCAGTGGGGACTGGCCAATGCAGAAGCCTGCAAAGTGGAACAGAGCGTCATGGGGTGGGGGATGTGGGGCCTGCCTGCTCATCTGAGCACTGCTCCCTGAGGGTGTGATCTGCAGGCTTCCTGAAGGAGGGCTGTGAGCTCTTCTGCGAGGCCCTGAGCCTGTGGAACATAGCTGAGGCCAAGCCCATGGGGATTTGTGTCTACTTGCACCTCCTTGCTCATCTCAGTACACTACAGGTGACTGTGCCGAGGTGGGCCTTGAGCATCCCCTGGGCTGTGTCAGCAAATGGCTCTGGGCCTGGCCTGGCATTGAGGGATGGCAAAAAAGGAGCCTGGGGTTGCATTGTCATCCCCTATGGTAGCATAAAATGAGAGAGTCCAGACCTGCAGGACTGGAACCCTAACAAAGGGGTTAGGAGACTGCTCACTTTCCCTCAGGAACCCATGTGGAGGAGCTGAGGGAGGTTAAGGAGACCCTAGGGACTCACTTGTTCTGTCTGGGCTTCCCCCTGCTCCATCGTTTGATGACCATTTTCTGGGAAGAGCTCAGGAACCTCCTGTGCTCTAGTGAGACGGGGCCTCCCCTCACAGGGTATTCTGAGACTGTGAGTGAGAAGCTAACACAGTGCCTTGCAATACTCATGGGAGCTGTCATCCTCTGTGACCATCACGTGGCCTTGTAGTGTTCAGACTGCCTGGCCTGCCTGGGGTTTGGTGAGGCTGTTTTGTGGTCAGGTGCTTTAGAAGCTCACTTTCTCTGCAATCAAACAGTGACTGTTTTCATGTCTGTTTATGGGTTTAAAAAATCCTAATATTTCCTTTATAGTAGTTCACCTTGTATGTGTTTATTTGTATAAATTTTATTAGAGTAAAGAGAGCTTAAGACAATAGCATTTTAAGGTCTTAATGAGGCATAGACTTTCATGTCACAACAGCTAATGTTGACCTCCTTTTGCTGCCTTTGTGTAAATTACACATAAAAAGTGCAGCCAGAGGTGACTAGAGCTGAGCTGCTTGGGCTTGCTTGCTGGCCTGCAGTCAGGTGGACTCTGGCTGTGAGGCAGTGCCCACCCTGGATCTACATCCCCCACCCCCTCTCCTTAGTCCCTGAGTAACCAACAAGGCCGTGCTAATGAGAGGGCGAGTGATGGGCATCGGGCACCCCCATATTATCCGGGAAGATTTGAATGCCATCTGGGCTGGAGCTGTTGGGATTAGGGGCTGAGGCTGTCTTGGCTTGTCATGGTGCCACCCACAGATGTGCCTGCCCTGTGCTGCTTCTCCAGAAGCCGGCTGCCCATGGCCCTGAGCCTGTCACACCATGCTTGCTACCTCATGCTGCTTGTGTTTGAAAAACCCATCCCGAGATGACGCTGCTGGATGTAAGTCCTGAAAAGGGGGCATCACCTTTGTCCTGGGGGATTAGGAGCTGACCAGATTCCTCTTGACTCCCTCCCAGAACAAGTGGGGCAGGTGCTGCAATTAATGTTGCCCCCTAGAAGATGTGTTTGCACTGGCTGAGCAAATATACGATGCAGAGACCTAAATGAAGACACGTGAATGGGGTGTGTGGACATCAGTTAGTAGCTGGGAAACAGGTGCCTCTCAGGCGTCTCGTGTTCCAGCAAGTGTGGAATATGCCTGTGCCCATGAGTGTAGACATCTGAAGTGTATACATTTGGCTGCTGCTTTTGCTGCCACTATTCCCAGGCCCAACCTGGCTTAAAGTCCAGGTTTTAAGTAAAAAGTAGGAGGCTTTTTGCCATACAGCTACTTGAGAGGCTGAGGTGAAAGCATCACTGGAGCCTAAGAGATTGAGGCTGCAGTGACCCATGATTCAGCCACTGCACTGACACAGTGAGACCTGCGTGTGCCCTTCTACAGAGAATAGCTCTGGGGCATTTGGGGATCCCTACAGTCCCGGACCCTCCCTGTCCCCTGCTGCCTGTGCTCCTTTCCTTGCCTGCTGTCAGAGCCTAACATGGAGGCGGTTGCCACCCTGTGAGCCTGAGGGAGCTGTGTCTGACTGGAACTTCTGTCTGAGGTTTTGCGAAGTCTTACTTATGAATATGGTCTGTCCAGATACCTTGTTTCAAAGGAAGTGAGCATGAGCTAGCAAGTGTAGCCACCCCACAGCTGATAAACAACTTTGTCTTGTTTTTAAATCATCAATCTTCATTTCACATTGGAATAAAGTAAGTGAAACCTGCTACCCGAGCCTCGCCCGTGTGTTCTGTAACCCAGACTCATGTGGTTGTGTGGGCTGTTGTCAGAAATGTTATAAAAAGGTTATGCATAAATTAGATCAAATATAAAATTATGCTTATAATGTCACTTGAGTGGGAGGTAAGAGGGTAGAGTCACAGGAAATCTGTTGGGGTTTACACCCCTGCTACTTACCAAGCTCATGAGAGTGTGGCACTGGTGACCATCACCTGACATTGGTGACAGAAGAGAAAAGGTCGAAGTGAAGGCCAGGTAGGAGAGAGGTGCCAGGCTGTGGGGCCAGGCCCTGCGCATGCTGGGCCTGTTAGGTCACTGAACATCTAACTACCCGGGAACCAGCTCTTTTCACATCATTTGAGGTAAGACGATGGGGGAGCACTCTCCAGAAGTCACACTGCGCTGGGAGAATGGAGGAGAGTCTACATACCGCCATCTTAGGGTAGGTTTTAGATTGAGCTGAACTGTCTTGGAGAGCTAATGAGATGGGAGGAAGACAGTCCCCCAGGTGCACCTAACAGCCAGAGCCTATGAAGTTAGGGGGGTTGTGTGGGGGTGGCCTTTCCCTATAAGAGGAGGAGCTTAAAGCTCTTAAAGCTGGTGGCTGCTGCTCTGCCATCCCTCTACAGAGCAGTCAAGTCCTCAGCTGCAAGAATATCTGAATGTCTTTTGGAGTGTTAGAGTCCTCTGTGTCTTAGAAATTTTGAAAAGAAAAACAAATCTCAATATTAATGTTGATTAGTTTCTCTGAGCCAATTGGGGAAAATAAACGTCCTTCACCTCAAAGGTTTAAGTGACACCGAAGGGTAGCCACCAGTGTCTCGGCCACTGAAGCCTCATGCATGCTCTCACTACCAGTTTGATTTGCAGCCCCATAGTTGTGTTGTACTAAATATTCTTTCCTCTGGCCTTGTCCAGTGAACACGGTTCACATGGCTAACACCACTTCTTGAGATGCGAGCACCATGCAAAGCTGAGAACGGATTGGGTTTTGTGACCATTGTGCCTCCTCCTCACCTGAGAGGCCCATTTTTCCTGGTTGATTCATTAAGTGTATTGGTGCTGTCAGTCGCCTCTGGACAATTGAAATGACAAGTGGCTGTTGATTCATAAAGAAAATGAAGGCTTTAGATGTGAAACCCTCGTTTTCTCTTGTCCTTCTCTTAGGTGAAAGATTTTATTTTTTTCAAAAGGCTACATACTGGTATCCCAGCAGGTGTAGTGTGAGAACTGGCATATGTTAGGCTATGGTGTCAGTGTGGATGGGCAATTCTTCAAGATGGAAAACCAAGTCTCACTGAGTTGCTGGAGCCACACTGACCTTTCTCCACATCCCCCACCATGGGCTTTCACTTTTATCCTGTGCTTGAATTTTTTTCACATACAAATTCTTTATACACACACACAGACACACACACACATATCTCACTCTGTCAATGCAGTGGCTGAATCATGGGTCACTGCATCTTCAAATTCTTAGGCTCCAGTGATGCTTTCAAATCAGCCTCTCAAGTAGCTGGGACTACAGGCATGCAAAGCTACACCCAGACAATTTTTAAATATTTTTCTAGAGACTGAGCCTACTTATGTTGCTCAGACTCGTCTTGCACTCCTGGGATCAAACGATAATCCCACCTTGACCACCCAAAGTGTTTAGATTACAGGTGTGAGCTAGCACTCTCAGCAAAAATATATTTTAAAGAACCGTTACAACCAAATTATGAGTTATCATTATGCCACTGCCCTCCACCCTGGGCACCAGAACAAGACCTTGTATCCAAAAACTAAGCAAAACTAAACAAGAACAAAAAAAAAAAACTTATAAATAAACTTTGAAGATTGTGTCATCTGTGTCCTTCCCTGCCCTCCAAGCTATCAATGTTAAATATAATGGTTATTGAGAAAATGGTTAGATATTATTAAGAAATTTCTATATATCTTCCAGCTGAGAATAGGTATTCTGTTGTGGCCCAAATATTTTCTCACCGCTACCTTCAGGGTCTAAACTAGCAAATCAGGACACCTGCAGAGGACAGTTGGCCGTTTTCAAATAGAAAGAGAAATACCCCCGTTCATGAGAGTAATCCAGTGATTTTCAAAAAGACAAGTCAGACTGACATGCAGCGCAGTCAGGCCACAATTACCCTGGAATAATCACTTCACACAGAATGGTTGAGGAGACTTTCTAAGATGAGCAAATTTGGGCAGCATAATCCTTGCTTATTTATTCCCAGCCCCCACTGCCCGCCTGATTCCTAATGGCTACCCTACAATGTGGTCAGCAGTGGGATGTAGCGTGGTGAGAGAGGGGCTCAGGGACGGGATGAAGGTCTTTCCTGCATTATCAAAATGCAGGTTAAAAAGTTGTTAAAAAGATGTCCAAATGTTCTAATTCCTACTGTTAAATAGCTGCTAAGATGCATTATACAACAGACCCAGGTAAGGGAAGGAGCATGTGCATTTCAAGTCTCAGCTCACTTCTTAATTAGCTGTGATACTCTGGGCAGGTGACCCCAACTATACGAGCCTGTGTGCCTGTCAACCCAAAACAATCCTAAGCAAAAACACCAAAGCTTGGGGCATCTTGCTACCCGACTTCAAACTATACTACAAGGCTGCAGTAACCAAAACAGCACAGTACTAATACCAAAACAGATATATAGACCAATGGAACAGAACAGAGGCCTCAGTAATAACATCACACATCTACAACCATCTGATCTCTAACAAACCTGACAAAAACAAGCAATGGAGAAAGATTTACTACTTACCAAATGGTGCTGAAAGAACTGGCTAGCCACATTCAGAAAACAGAAACTGGACCCCTTCTTTACATCTTATACAAACATTATCTCAAGATGGATTAAAGTCTTAAATATAAAACACCAAACCACAAAAACCCTAGAAGAAAACCTAGGCAATACCATTCAGGACATAGGCATGAGCAAAGACTTCAGGAATAAAATACCAAAAGCAATCACAACAAAAGCTAAAATTGACAAATGAGATCTAATTAAACTAACGAGCTTCTGCACAGCAAAAGAATCTATCATCAGAGTGACCAGGCAACCTACAGAATGACAGAAAATTTTTGCAATCTATCCATGTGTCAGAGGTCTAATATCCAGAATCTACAAGGAACTTAATTTCACACACACACAAAAAAAAAACATCAAAAAGTGAGTAAAGAATATGAACAGACTATTCTCAAAAGAAGACATTTGGCTGGGCGTGGTTGATCAAGCCTGTAATCCCAGCACTTTCAGCCATGGAGGCAGGTGGATCATGAGGTCAGGTGTTCAAGACTAGCCTGGGCAACATGGTGAAACCATGTCTCTACTAAAAACACAAAAAATTAGCATGGTGTTTTGGCGGGTGGCTGTGATTCCAGCTTCTTGGGAGGATAAGGCAGGAGAATCACTTGAACCTGGGTGGCAGATGTTGCAGTGAGCTGAGATCCTGCCACTGCACTCCAGCCTGGGTGACAGAGCTAGACTCCGTCTTTAAAATAATAATAAATAAAATAAATAAAAAGAAAAGGAAGAAGGAGAAGAAGAAGAGGAAGAAGAAGAAGAAGAAGAAGAAGAAGAAGAAGAAGAAGAAGAAGAAGAAGAAGAAGAAGAAGAAGAAGACATTTATGTGGTCAACAAACACACAAAAAGGAAAAAGAAAAAAGCTCATCATCACTGATGATTAGAGAAATGCAAATCAAAACCACAATGGGATACCATCTCACACCATTTGGAATGGCAGTTATTAAAATGTCAGGAACAACAGATGCTGATGAGGCTATGGAGAAATAGAAACGCTTTTACACTGCTGGGGGCGGGAGTGTAAATTACTTCAACCATTATGGAAGACAGTGTGGTGATTCCCTAAGTATCTAGAACCAGAAATACCATTTGACCCAGCAATCTCATTACTGGTTATATACCCAAAGGAATATAAATCATTCTAGCATAAAGACACATGCACTCATATATCTATTGCAGCACTGTTTACAATAACAAAGACTTGGAACCAACCTAATGCCCATCATTGATAGACTGGAAAAAGAAAATGTGGCACATATACACCATGAAATAATATTCAGCCATAAAAAGAATGAGTTCATGTCCTTTGCAGGGACGTGAATGACACTGGAAACCATTCTCTTCAGCAAACTAACACGGGAACAGGAAACAGAACACCATATGTTCTCACTCATATGTGGGAGTTGAACAATGAGAACACATGGACACCGGGAACAAAACATCACACACTGGGGCCTGTTAGGGTGTTGAGGTCAAGGGGAGGGAGAAAATTAGGACAAATACCTAATGCATATGGGGCTTAAATCCTAGACGTCAGGTTGATAGAAGCAGCAAACCACCATGGCACATGTAAACCTATGTAACAAACCTGCACGTTCTGCACATGTATTCCAGAACTTAAAGTAAAACAAACTAACAAAAATGCACTAAGGCTGAGGGGGAGTGGGGGTAGGGGCAGGAGTCAGGCGGGGGTGGGTGAGTCCTGGAGTTTTATCCAGTCATTGACACTGATGTGGGAACAGCCCAATCAGGCGCGCAGTTGGAGAGGACAGGAGAGGAGGGCGTGGCTTCTGGCGTTTGGCGGGTCTTTGTCTCTTGCTGGCGCTGGCACAGGAACTTGGGATCCGTCTCCTCTTTCGCCTCCTCCGCTTTGGGAGCCCCGGGCTACTCTTTCACAGCCCCTGTTGCCCTGTGATCTGTAGGTCCTTGGGGACGCACAGTTAAGATGACAGGACATCCTGGAAGCTGGGAAATGGTGAGTATACGGGGTTCGGCATCCCGAGAGGGGACAGCAGGCTGTGAAACCGGCAGGACCGGCCCCCACGGTTAGCTCCGAGTCTCCCGCAGCTTGGCCCTCAGTCCCCTGTGGCTGCAAGATGGCCGCTGGGCCAGCATCGAGGACCCCCACATCCGGCCTGGCCCATCCGGTGCTGTCCCTGGGCAGCGCCCTGCTCTGCGCCCACAGCCATGAGTATTTCCCAGATTGTTCAGGGAGGCCTGGTGGGTCATCAGGGAAAAACTGCCACTGGGTGTTTGCGTGGGAGGAGCTGCGGCCCGTGGGGTCCCCAGTCTCTCTTGTTAAAAATTAACGGGAGTCTATGTTAAAACGTTAACCAGTTTATCTGAACAAACAGTGATTGGTGAAATGGAAAGCACCCAGCCATGATTTCTGGTCCACCAGAGGGGCATAAAGGAAAGGCTTTCATAAGATGCATGAGAAAGCAGCCCAAATTCAAAAATTGGTTCCAGTTATGTAGTCACCTTATTTGAACTATCCAGATGGAAATGTCCTGGTTACATATTCAGAGGTTAATTGCATGTTTGCCATTGGTTAAACGTGCATTTTGTTTCAGGCTAAGATAATGCTTTATAGGAAATGTATTTGAGTTAGGTTTTAGTTTTTGTTTTTTTTTTTTTAACCTATGAACCCAGGACACTAGAGCCACTTTAGTCTAATTTTCTGCTCTTTAATTATTTTAACACTCCAGAGGAGGACTGGTTTTCTCCTGTGTTTTTTTAATATATGGCAAGTGGAACCTCTAATCGACCACCCTGTTTTTCAGCCTAACTCAGGCTTGTGGTAAAATTATCAGTTCCCACTTTCTTTGCTGCATTCTCAAATGCAACACAGGAGAACAGCTTTCCCTTGCAAATTCACAATGCTGTTAACTATTTGTCCTTTATTATACATTTCATTAAAGTTTTCTATTATTGGATTTCTTTCTACTTCTCCCTACAGTTCTGCCCATATTTGCTTTTTATATTTAGAAGCCTCCCTTTTGGGTGCATAAATATATATAGCTATATTCACTTGACAAATTAACCTCTATTATTATTGTATGGTAAACTCATTTCATGCTTGTGAGAGACATTGCTAGAAAGTCTATTTTGTCTAATTTAAGCATAACTACCATTGAACTCCTTTGGCTATTATTTGCATGGAATATCATTTTCTATCCTTTCACTTTTAGCCTATGCTCTTAATTCATAATTGAGTCTCTTGTAAGCAGCATATTACGAGGTTTAAAAGTTTCATTTATCCACTCTGTCTGCTTTAGTCTCTTTTGGCTGTTATAACAGAATATCACAGACTGGTAATTAATAAAGAACAGAATTTTATTTGACTCATGATTCTGGAGGCTGGGAAGGTAAAAGAACATGTTACTGGTATCTGTTGAAGGTCTAGTTGCTGGATAATAACATGGCCAAAGATGTGAGGGAGAGACAGCTTTTTTTTTTTTAATATATAACAGATCCATTCTTGTTAAAATTAGCCCATTCCCATAATAAGAACATTAATCCATTCATGAGGGCAGAGTGCTTATAGCTTAATTAATTTTTAAAGGTTCCACCTCTTAATTCTTTCACATTGGCCATTTTATCCTAAATTTTGGAGATGACATTCAGTCTACAGAAGTATCTGTTTAGTAGATAATTTAATCTTTTTATTTGTAAGGTAGTGATAGGTAAGCAGTTACTATTGTACATTTGTAGTTTTCTGTCCATTTTAAGTTTGCTTCTTTTTTTTCTGGTTCTGTCTTTCCTGTGGTATTGTTCATTTTTGTTGAGACAAAGTTATGCTTTCTTGCTCAGACTGAAGTTCAGTGGCATATCACAGCTCACTGTAGCCTCAATCTCCTGGGCTCAAGCAATCCTCCCCCCTTAGCCACCCAAGTAGCTTGGACTACTTGGACATGTACCACAACACCCAAGGAGCTTATGATTCTTCCACCTTGGCCTCCAAAAGTGTTGGAATTATAAGCAGGAGCCACTGTATCCAATGTGTAATTTTTGTTGTTTGTGTATGCTTTAATTACTTTCTCTTTTTCTTTACTATGTTTTTTTTTCCCCCAGTGGTTATCATGAGACTTATGTAAAACCTCTTGTATTTTAATAGTCTAGTTTAAGATGATAACAATTTAGAGTATTCTGAATTTCAGTATGTATTTACCATTTTTAGTGACATTTATACTTTAGTATTTTTCATATTGTTAGTTAGCATTTCATCATATCAATGTGAAGATTTCTTCCAGACCTTGGCTGGAGAAGGAAAGAAGGTGTGTTTTGCCTGATTCAGGGACTATAGAGAGAACCAAGTTCTGCAGGCCTGTCACCTAAGTCTCAGATGAGTATGAATTCTTTTGTGTTTTTCACAGATTTTTGCAGTGGCAGGACCAAGTTCAAATGAGTCATAGCCAAGTTTACAGTAAGATGTGGTAGTATTCTGTTTTGAACCGAGGACCATGATTGGCAAGCTTGCCACTTGGTCAAGTGCTTACCCTCTAAAGATGTCTTCCTTGGTCTTTGCCTCCAGCTGGGTGTCACAAACTCTGAACTGGATTCTAAGGCTTTCATGAATGCACTTATGTTTCCCGTGGCAGCTGCATTATGTTGTGGGGGATGTGCATGCCGAACCTCCCATTCTGTCGTCTTGCTTATGTTACTCTCCTTTATGTTTCACTTTCTCAAATGAATGTCAAGCTGGTGATTTTTAGATTCAAAAATTCTAAAATAAATTGCTCAAATTTCCACATTATGTAAGCTATTAATAAAATGTCTTGTAGGTGCTACATATTTATTAAAATTTTTGGTTGTAATTTTAAGCTCACTGCAGGCAGAAAGGAATCATTAACATTTATATTCTTTTTTTTAGTCTGTATCTAAATGATGGTATATTTTAATTCCAGATATTTACTTTATACTGCAGTAATGCTCGTCATATTTTGCAAAATTTATGTTGTTCTTTTATTTGGAAATATAAGGCTTTTTTAGCTCTTGAAATCTATATTATAGTCATATAATTTTATTATGTTTTGTGGTAAGAAGTGCAGCAACATATTGAGAACATAATAAAATTATCCTGTATTTTTAATGATTATTTATTAAATTCCTCTCATTAGAGCCTGTTATTAATGATTGTAATGTATTTTCTGTATAATTTTACTGCAATTTATTAAATTCTAATGACTTAAATTGTCTGCTTTTCATGAGTGCACACAGTTGAATGCTGTAGATATCTAAAGAATTATTTTTCGGCCGGTTGTGGTGGCTCATGCCTGTATTCCCAGCACCTTGGGAGGCCAAGGCGGGTGGATCACGAGGTCAGGAGATCGAGACAACCCTGACTAACATGGTGAAACCCCGTCTCTACTAAATATACAAAAAATTAGCCGGGCATAGTGGCAGGCGCCTGTATCCCCAGCTACTCAGGAGGCTGAGGCAGGAGAATGGCGTGAACTCAGTGGACAGAGTTTGCAGTGAGCCGAGATCGCGCCACTGCACTCCAGCCTGGGCAACAGGGCAAGACTCTGTCTCAAAAAAAAAAATAAAAAAAAAAACGGTTATTTTCCATTGTAAATCTATGTTGTATTCAGGATTTTATGCACGAAAATCTCTCTTCTTATTTTCAAGTCCGTGTTATTGTGTTTCTTTTCTTGGGAGTTATGTTTTCTCAGATCAGTTAAATGTATTTTTATTTTAAAGCTTGATATCATCAGTTGAAAGATAATTTTTAGCTCGGTACACTTTATCTCAATGTGATGTTTAATATATGTGTGAATTAGCTGTGTTTGTTGCTTATAGATATATCTGTATGTTTTTCACTTATGTAAGTATGACATCTTTTTCCTTGTTTTTTTGTTTTTTTCTTTTCAGTTTCAGATAGGCTTTTTTTTTTTTTAAGAGAATTTTAAAACAGAGTCGAAAGAAGAGAAATCAGTTATTTGTCCTCTTGCAGGGTGGGGAGACAACTTCCTTCCCCACAGGTTTGAGGCTATGCCTAAGTGGTGAGTCTTGAGGAGATGCAGAAAGGATCCATCCCAGGCACTTGGCTGGACTTAAGTAAGCATAGCCTTTAGGCCACAAGACCTGATGGTTTGGGTACTGGTCTGGACATAAGTCCCCATCTTCCCAGAAATATCATCTTTTGTCTGCAACAACTGGCTGGAGAAATATTTCAGAAAGATGTGTGTCTGGAACACCCAAAGACATACTTTTCCTTTCTCCTTGGCATAGGCCTTGCAGCACTGAAGAAAGACCAGGTTTGCAATGGAGCCTTCAACAGTCTTCATCCCTATGGAACTCAGGGTCTCATAGGGTGACAGGAGAGGAGACAAAGCTAACTTGGGAAGAGTCTCTGTCCTTCAGCTTCTCCCCTACTGAAACACTATATATTGGGCCCACAGTTCATCACAAAACACACATGCTCTCTTTCTTTCTCTCACACCCAATCTTGGGAACCCAAAAACTTG
Organism: Homo sapiens; assembly: GCF_000001405.40. Classification (NCBI taxonomy): domain Eukaryota; kingdom Metazoa; phylum Chordata; class Mammalia; order Primates; family Hominidae; genus Homo; species Homo sapiens. The sequence continues at coordinate 7,435,334 of NC_000021.9, forward strand.
ATGGCAGGTAGCTCTGGGTATCCTTGGTCTGGCATTCACCCACTGGGAATCTAAGCTGTCCTAAAGCTCTTTTCAATCACTTCTCACTGTTTCCAGGCCCATGTGGGTAGGTGTTCCAGGCTTCATTCTTTCAGGCTGATCATAAAGGCACAGTGTGGGAAAATCCCCTACTGTGATGGCCATTGCTGGGAAGCAGGAAAGGCTAAGGGCCCACTGCTGCCCAAGGCTAGTATAGATGCCCTCTGCTCCACTCATGTCCTCAAAGACTGATATCAGGTGCAGCAGCTGCTGTCTGGAATGTTATCAAACCAGGACTGCACAGGCACTGCATTCTCTGTGTGGAAGACGTAAGAAGCAGGCGAGTTGTCCAGGATGAGAGTTTTCCTCAGGTCCCTCCCCAGATGGCTGAGGTCATTGACATAGCAGCCCTGGTGGAACAAACGTGACTCATGGGCTAGGCAACCCCAGAACACCTCACACTGGTCCAGCACACCCATCACAATGTGTCTGGAATTGGTGGGTTCTTGTTCTCACTGACTTCAAGAATGAAGCCACAGACCCTCACGGTGAGTGTTACAGTTCTTAAAGGTGGCATGTCTGGAGTTTGTTCCTTCTGACATTCGGATGTGTTGAGAGTTTCTTCCCTCTGGTGGGCTCGTGGTCTCGCTGGCTCAGGAGTGAAGCTGCAGACGTTCGCGGTGAGTGTTACAGCTCTTAAGGTGGCACATCTGGAGTTGTTCATTCCTCCAGGTGGGTTCGTGGTCTCGCTGGCTTCAGGAGTGAAGTTGTGGACCTTCACAGTGAGTGTTACAGCTCATAAAGGCATTGTGGACCCAAAGAGTGAGCAGCAGCAATATTTATTGCAAAGAGCAAAAGAACAAAGCTTCCACAGTGTGGAAGGGGACCCGAGTGGGTTGCCACTGCTGGCTGGGGCAGCCTACTTTTATTCCCTTATCTGGCCCCACCCACATCTTGCTGATTGTTAGAGCCGAGTGGTCTTTTTTCACAGGGCGCTGATTGGTGTGTTTACAATCCCTGAGCTAGACACAAAGGTTCTCCACATCCCCACCAGTGTAGCTAGATACAGAGTGTTGATTGGTGCATTCACAAACCCTGAGCTAGACACAGGGTGCTGATTGGCATGTTTACAAACCTTGAGCTAGATACAGAGTGCCGATTGGTGTATTTACAATCCCTGAGCTAGACACAAAGTTTCTCCACGTCCCTACCAGACTCAGGAGCCCAGCTGGCTTCACCCAGTGGATCCCCCACAGGGTCTGCAGGTGTAGCTGCCTGCCAGTCTGGCACTGTGCACCCGCACTTCTCAGCCCTTGGGTGGTTGATGGGACTGGGTGCCGTGGAGCAGGGGGCGACACTCATCCAGGAGGCTTGGGCACACAGGAGCCCACCGATGGGGGGGAGGCTCAGGCATGGCGGGCTGCAGGACCCAAGCCCTGCCCTGTGGGATGGCAGCTAAGGCCCAGCGACAAATTGAGCACAGCAGCTGCTGGCCGAGGTGTTAAGCCCCTCACTGCCTGGGGCCGGTGGGGCCAGCCGGCGGCTCCGAGTGTGGGGTCCGCCGAGCTCGCGCTGGCCTTCAAGCACTGCACGCCGCCCTGGTTCCCACACGCACCTCTCCCTCCACACCTCGTCGCAAGCTGAGGGAGCCGGCTCCGACCTTGGCCAGCCCAGAAAGGGGCTCCCACAGTGCAGCGACAGGCTGAAGGGCTCCTAAAGTGCCGCCAAAGTTGGAGCCCAGGCAGAGGAGGCCCGGAGAGTGAGCAAGGGTTGTGAGGACTGCCAGCACGCTGTCACCTCTCAACAGGATCTGCATACTTGTTCAGTCTGGAATGAAGAGAGCAATGAAGAAAACACATTTAAACAGTTCCTCCAGTCATCTCAGGAACTCATCCATATAAGGCCTCATGGTCCCCTCAATCTTTACAGTCACTAGGCAGTCAGCATTGCTGATTGGCTTAATGGAGCTATGCACAAGGGTTTCATCCATGTCAGTGACCATACAGATCGTTCCTTGATTTTTCTCTGTCACCTCTGGGAGCAGGCAGGTCCCTGGGATCTGATAAAACTGATACTGGAGACACTTGAGCTGATCCGACTTAGCAATGGTGTTGACTCCCTCCTTATGTGTGGAGAACTCAGTGGGGGAACTTGACTTGCCAACATGCTGGGTGCAAGAACAGCAGAAAGGTACCTTCTAAGATGTCACAAACATGAGGCCTCTTCGGAGAGCACTTTGGAAACCAGGCCTTGCTTGCTAAGGACCAGGGCATCTTCCCTCCATGCCTGGGTGGTGATGGAGCCTGGTTCCATCTAACAATCCTGAGGGCTCGGCTGGCTGGGTGGGAAGACAGCGGGCACGTTGGCTGGACTGGGCTGGGGGGCATGGGCTGGGGCCTGATTCAGTTCCCGAGAGTCTGACTTCCACAGCTGTTCACATACCCCTTCTCCTTTCCATCACAGGCCGGGAAGAGAGGCGGCCTGTAGGGACGGTGGATGGCCTTGGCAGCAGCTCCCCAGGGTGCCCCCAGCCCCAAATCCCCCAGCAGGAGCTTCAGGATCTTCAGTTTGGGTCTAACCTAGGGAATCCACCTCATACTCATGTTTTTTCAAGTTTTATTTTAAGTTCAGTGGTCCATATGTGATAAGCTTTTTTTTCAACTTTTATTTTAAGTTTAGGGGTCCATGTGCAGGATATGCAGGTCTCTTACATAGATAAACGTGTGCCATTGTGCTTTACTGCACAGATCATCTCATCACCCAGGTACTAAGCCCAGCATCCGCAGCTATTCTTCCTGCTGCTCTCCTTCCCCTCCCCCATGCCATGAAACAGGTGTCCAGTGTGTGTTGTTCTTCCTGATGTGTCCATGTGTTCTCATTGATCTGCTTCTGCTAATAAGTTAGAATAATAATAGGTGGTGTTTGGTTTTCTGTTCCTGCATTAGTTTGCTGGGAGTAATGGCTTCAAATTCCAACCATGTCCCTGCAAAGGACATCATCTCATTACATTTTATGGCTTCATAGTGTTCCATGGTGTATGTGTACCACATTTTCTTTATCCAGTATATCATTGATGGGCATGTAGATTGATTACATGACGTTGCTATTGTAAATATTGCTGCAATGAACATATGTATACATGTTTATTTAAAATAGATTTATATTCCTTTGGGTGTATGCCCAGTAATAGTATTGCTGGGTCAAATGGTATTTCTGCTTCTAGGTCTTTGAGGAATCTCCACACTCTCTTCCACAATGCTTGAAATAATTTACAATCCCACCAACAGTGTAAAAGTGTTCCCTTTTCTCCACAACCTCACCAGCATCTGTTTTTATTTCTTTTTTACTTTTTATTAATAGACATTGTAATTGGTGTGAGATGGTATCTCATTGTTGTTTTGATGTGTATTTATCCAGTTATCAGTGATGTTGAGCTTTCCATGTTTGTTGGGCACATGTATGTCTTCTTTTGAGATATGTCTGTTCATGTCCTTTGACCACTTTTTAATGGGGTTGTTTGTTTTTCTCTTGTAAATTTTAAGTCCCTCATAGATTCTGGGTATTAGATATTTGTCAGATGAATAGGTTGCAAAATTTTTCTCCCATTCTCTAGCTTCTCTGCTCTGATGATAGCTTCTTTGGCTCTGTGGAATCTCTTTAGTTTAATTAGACCCCATTAGTCAATTTTTGCTTTTGTTGCTATTTCTTTTGGTCTTTTTGTCATCAAATCTTTCCTCATGACTATATCCTGAATGGTATTTTCTAGATTTTTTCTTCTAAGGTTTTTATAGTTTTGGGTTTTACATTCAAGTCTTTAATCCATCTTGAGTCAATTTTTGTCTATGGTGTTAGGAAGGGTTCCAGTCTTAATTCTCTGCACATGACTAGCCAGTTATCCTAGCACTATTTATTGAATAGGGAGACTTTTCCCTAATTCCTTGTTTTTGTTGACTTTGTCAAAGATCAGTTTGTTGTAGGTTTTTGGCTTTATTTCTATGCTCTCTATTTTGTTTCATTTGTCTATGTGTCTGTTTCTATACCAGTACCATGCTGTTTTTGTTACTGTACTCTTCTAGTACAGTTTGAAGTTAGGCAATGACCCTTTCAGCTTTTTTTTTTTTTTTTCTTAAGGTTGGCTTGGCTATTTGGGCTCTTTTTTGGTTCCATTTTAATTTTAAAAAGTTTTTTTTTTCTAATTATCTGAAGAATGTCAGTAGTTCAATGGGAACAGCATTGAATCTATAAATTACTTAGGGCAATATGCTCATATTCGTGGTACTGATTCTTTCTCTCCGTGAGCATGGAATGTTTCTCCATTTGTTTTGTGTCCACTCTGATTCCTCTGAGTAGTTGTTTGTAGTTCTCCTTGAAGATATCCTTCACTTTCCTTCTTAGCTGTATTCCTTGGTATTTTTTTCTCTTTATAGCAAATGTGAATGAAAGTTCATTCATGATTTGTCTCCCTGCTTGCCTGTTGCTTGTGTATGGGAATGCTAGCTACTTTTGCAGATTGATTTTATATCCTGAGATTTTGCTACTGCTGCTTATCACCTTAAGAAGCTTTGGGGCTGAGACGAAGAGGCTTTCTAGATATAGGGTCAGGTCATCTGTAAACAAAGATAATTTGACTTTCTCTCTTTCTATTTGAATACTGTTTATTTCTTCCTCTGGCCTGATTTTCCTGGACAAGTTTTCCGAATGGGAGTTGTAATGCGAGTGGTGAGAGAGAGCATACTTTTCTTGTGCCGGTTTTCAGGGGGAATGTTTCCAGCTTTTGCATATTCAGTATGATATTGGCTGTGGGTTTGTTGTATATGGCTCTTCTTATTTTGAGGTATGTTTCTTCAGTTCCTAATTTATTGAGAATTTTAAACGTGAAGGAATGTTGAATTTTATTGGGTGCTTTTTCTGCATCTATTGAGGTAATCATGTGGTTTTTTTATTTAGTTTTCTTTATGTGATGAGTCACATTTGTTGATTTGCATATGTTGAATCAACCTTGCATCCTGGAGACAAAGCCAATTCCATTGTGGTGGATGCACTTTTTAATGTGCTGCTGGGTTTGGTTTGCCAGTATTTTATTGAGGATGTTTGCACAGTGTTCATCAAAGACATTGGCATGATGTGTTGTTGTTGTTGTTGTTGTATCTATGTTAGGTTTTGGTATCAGGATGATGCTGGCCTGATAGAATGAGTTAGACAGAACTTCTTTGTCTTCAATTTTTTTTGGATAGTTTTAGGAGAAAATGTACTATCTCCTCTTTACCTCAAGTCAAATTCAGCTTGCTTGGTAGGCTAGTTCTTACTGTCTCAATTTCAGAACACATTATTGATCTATTCAGGGTTCAGTCTTGTAGAGAGTTTATTTTGCAAGGAAATTGTCCATTTCTTCTAGATTTTCTGGTTTATGAGCATAGAGGTGTTTATAGTATTCTCTGATCGTTGTTCTTATTTCCATGGGATCAGTGATGATATCTCCCTTATTATTTCTATTTGTGTTTGGTTCTTTCTTTTCTTATTTATTTGCCTAACTAGTGTTCCATCTAGTTTATAAATTTTTTTTTTTTTCATAAAAACAGCTCCTGGATTGGTTGAGTTTTTTTTTTTTTTTTTTGGAAGAGTTCTCAGTGTCTCTATCTCCTTCAGCTCTACTCTGATCTTGGCTATTTCTTATCTTCTGCTAGCTTTCAGGTTTGTTTTCACTTGGTTTTCTTGTTCTTTTAACCAAGATGTTAGGCTGTTAACTTTAGATCTTTCTAATTTTTTTTTTTCTTGTGGGAGAGTTTCACTCTGTCACCCAGGCTGGAGTACAGTGGCATAATCTCGGCTCACTGCAACCTCCACTTCTCGGTTTTAAGTCACTTCTGCTGTCTCAGCCTCCTGAGTAGCTGGGATTACAGATGTGAATCACCACACCTAGCTAATTTTTGTATTTTTTTGTAGAGATATGGTTTTGCTGTTGGCCAGGCTGGTCCTGAACACCTGGTCTCAAGTGATCTGCCTACCCCAGCCTCCCAAAGTGCTGGAATTACAGGCATGAGCCACCATGACCGGCCCTTTCTAGCTTTTTGATGTGGACATTAGTGCTATAAATTTCCCTCTTTTCTTGGTTTCTAGTGATTATTTTATTCTATCTTGGTGAGTAGTCAGGGAAATAATCTTAAATTTACAATCAACTTATAGTTTAAATCTAAATAATTAAGTGAGAAGAACCCTTTGTTATTTGAAGGGGATGTTTGAAGATTTTGTAACCGTGCCTTTTAGGTAGTCCTAAATTTCTAATTGTAGTTAAAAACATGCCATTTTCATTTCTAACATTTTAAGTATATGGTTTAGAAGTGGTAAGTATAGTTCTATTTTTTTTTGCAATAGGTTTTAGATAATTTTTGTCTTACAAAAGTAAAAGTGAATACTCATTAATTCTGAAACAAGTTAGTTAGCTTGCTTTAGTTAGATAGCAAGAGAAGGGTCCCTGGAAAGTCCCTGGCCCTTGGGTCAGTGTCTCATCCCTGCATAATATAAAAGGAATCCTGGAAAAAATCAAGCTGCAGACACTAACAAGGTAACTAGCACATGGTGTTGTGCTTGGAGACCTGCCCATGGCTGCACAGACAGAAAAACCTCTGGCATATTTGGATAAAAACTTGTACAAACCTCCAGCTCACTGAGATAAGGGAACAAGACCGACCTGGCATAGAAATGCCTTTGTTTGTCCAGGCACAGTGGCTCATGCCCGTAATTCCAGCAATTTGGGAGGCAGAAGTGGGCGGATCACCTGAGGTCGGGAGTTCGAGACCAGCATGACCAACATGGAGAAAAATACAAAATTAGCCGGGCATGGTGCCTCATGCCTGTAATCCCAGCTACTTGGGAGGCTGAGGCAGGAGAATCACTTAAACCCAGGTGGCGGAGTTTGCTGTGGGCCGAGATCGCACCATTGCACTCCAGCCTGGGCAACAAGAGCAAAACTACGTCTCAAAATAAATAAATTAATAAATAATAAGAAAGTACATCTCAAAAACAAAAATGAAAGAAAGAAAGAAAAGAAAAAGAAAAAAAGAAACGCCTTTGTACTTTGTGCAGTCAGTGGGCTCCCAGGAAAATGTTTCTTCTCCTTTTGTGGGCATAAGCACAGTGGGCTCTGGTGCATTCCGGTCGACACTCTCCTTTATTTGGACTGTAAGTCAGACCTCTGTGAATAATTACTTCAGCCCCTGATTGCTCCCGGGACAAGCTCCTGCGCCAAGCTTTCACTTTAGCTTCTGATAAGTCCTGGGCCAATCTAAATAGCATCTATGAATCATCCCTTCAGCTCCTGATTGGTCCCGGGTCAAAGTCCTGGGCCAAGCTGAGCCACACTTTTTTCAAGACAGCCTGTTAACTAGGCACATTTCCTTCTCTTCCTTTCCCAGTCCATAAAAACCTTGGGCCCCAGCCTCACAGAGGTCACCCCATTCAGAAACTATCTCTGCTGGCAAAGAGCTTTCTTCTCTTGCTTATCAAACTTTCACTCTAACCTCACCTTTGTGTTCACGCTCCTTAATCTCCCTAGAAGTAGAACAAAGAACTTTCGATGCTATCTCAGACTATGAGAGACTGTTACATCTTGGTGCACTGCTGAGACTACAACACTTGGTTTCTTTGAGTTTGACTAAATATTTTACATAGGTGTAATTATACAGTTTTCCTTTTTGACTGTCTTGTTTTACTTAACAGAATGTTTTCGAGATTTGTCCTTATTGTAGTACTTTTCAAGATTTCCTTATTTTTAAGGCTGAATGCTATCCAGTGAATATACGTGCCCTGTTTGTTGAATCTACTCATCCTTAAAGGTACATTTGCTTCCAGGTAGTATGTTTGTGAGTAATGCTACAGTGTACATAAATGTGCATATATCTATTCCATGTTCTGCTTTGCCTGTTTGGGATATTTTTCACACACTGATTTAGTACCATGTGTATTCCCTTGCTTTTGTTGTCTGATTCGTTGATGTTACATCCCCCAAATTATTGCCGAGACCAATTGTCATGAAGCTTCACCCTTCTGTATTGTGCTAGGAATTTTACAGCTATAGATTTTACATTATAGTCTTCATATTTTAAAATTGACACATGTAATTGTACAAATTTTGGGGAAACAATTATGTATATATGTTGTATAGCAATAAAAATCAGAGTACTTAGTGTAATTATTGCCTCATACATTTGTTATTTTTGTGGTGAGAACATTCAAAAGCTTCTTCTCTAGCTATTTTTTTATATCTTTATATATTAACTTTTTTTAGAGACAGGATCTTGCTCTAACACACAGATTGGAGTGCAGTGGTGCAATCCTAGCTCACTGTAACCTCAAACAATCTTCTAACCTCAGCTTCCCAATTAGCTGAGACTACAGGAACCTGCCTCCATGCCTGGATAATGTTTTAATTTTTCATAGAGACAGGGTCACACTATGTTGTCCAGGCTCATCTTGAACTTCTGACATCAAGTGATTCTCCTACCTCATTCTCCCAAAATGTATGGATGGCAGGAATGTGCCACCACAACTGGTCTCTTTTAGCTATTTTGTAATTTGAGATAACTTTTCATTAATTATTATTATTCTGCTGTGTAACAAAAAACAAAAACTTATTTCTCCTATCTAATTGTAACACAATACTTTTGAAGCTGCCTTTTCCCATCTCCCTGCTTCAGTCTCTGGGAACCCCTGTTGTACTCTTTGCTTATATCAACCCTTTTTTTCAGGTTCCTCAAATGAGTGAGATAATAAGATCATAAAGTATTTGTGTTTCTCTATGTGGCTTATTTTACTTAACATGGTATGCTCAAGGTTCATCCATGCTCTTTTAACTGACAGAATTTTATCCTTTCTTATAGCTGAATAGTATTTCACTGTGCATATATAGTACATTTTCCTTATCCATTTATCTGTTGCTGTACATTTGAATTGATTCCATATATAAGCTATTATAACTAGTTCTGTAACTAACATGGAAATGCAAATATCTTTTTGACACAGTGATATCCTTTCTTTTGTATATACATGCAGGAGTAAAATTGCTGGATCATGTAATACATCTATTTTTAATTTCTTTCAGAAACCTCCATAGTATTTTCTATAGTGGCCATACTAATTTACAATTCCACCAACAATGTATACATTCACTCATTTTATATCCTCATTAGTACTTGTTTTATTTATTTATTTATTTTTATTATAGCCATTCTAAATGGGAGTGAGGCGGTACCTCATTGTGGTTTGGATTTTCATTTCCTTAGTGATTAGTAATGTAGAACATATTTTTATGTTCCAGTTAGCCATTTTTGTATCACTTTTTGACAAACATCTATTAAGATCTTTTGCATTTTTTTAATTAGATTATAAGTGTATTTTATTTTGAGATTTTAAAGTTTCTTATTTATTCTGAATATTAGCCTTTTGTCATATGTATAGCCTGAAAGCATTTTCTTTTATTGCCTAAGCTGTCTCTTCAATCTTTTAGTTTTTTTAATATGGAAAAGCATTTTAGTTTGACATAATGTTGTTTGCTTATTTTTGATTTTGTTGCCTATGTTTTGACATGTTATTTTAATAATCCTTTCCCCGTCGAATGTTATAAAGCATTTTTTAGTTTTTCTCTAATAGTTTCATAATTGATAGCATTACATTTAAGTCTTTAGTTTGAATTGATTTTCATATATGGCAAGGCACAGGGGTCTAGTATAATTTTTCTGAATTTAAATATTTAAATGGCCCTGCATCATTTATTGAAGAAATTAGCTTTTCCCTAAAGTGTGTTCTTGGCAATTTTGTTGACAATCAGTTGGCTTTAGGTGCATAAACTAACTTCTGGGCTTCTTGGGCACATTAGTCTATGTGTTTGTTTTTATGCCAGTACAGTGCTCTTTTGGTTACTATAGCTTTGTAGCAAGTTTTGAAGTTTGATAAAGTGATGCCTTTAGCTTTGCTTATTTTGCTCAAAGTTATTTGTCTATTCAGAGTTTTTTGTGGATCCACATAAATTTAAAATATTTTTTCTATTTCTGTGAAAAAATGTCATTGATATTTTGATAAAAATATTACCTCCCACAGGGTCCCTCCCAGGACATGTGGGGATTATTACAATTTAAGATGAGATTTGATTGGGGACACAGAGCCAAACCCTGTCAATTACTTAAATCCAGGAGTTCGACACTACCCCGGGCAATATTGTGACAAGCTATTGGTAAAAAATATTTTCACAGATTACTCAGGCATTGTGGAATGTTCCTGTAGTCTCAGGAAGTTGGAGGCTGACGTAAGATTATTCCTTGAGTTCCCCAGGAACTTGAGGCTGCATTGAGCTATAATCATCGTATTGTATTCCTGTCTGGGTGAGAGAGTAAGACCTCTTTTTAGAATTTCAAATTTATTTTAGATTTAGGAGGTACCTACACAGGTTTTTTACATGGGTATTTTGTATAATGCTGAGGTTTGAAGTATGAGTAATTCCATCAATCAGGTAGTGAGCATAGTACTAAGTAGACAGTTTTTCAGTTCTTGGTCCCTCCCTCTCTCCACCCTCTAAGAGTTGTCTATTATTTTTGTTTTTCTGTCCATGTGTACCCAGTGTTAATTTCCATTTATAAGTGAGAATATGCAGTATTTTCATTTTCCATTTCTGCATTAATTTGCTTTGTATAATGGCCTTTAGTTGTGTTAACGTTGCTGCAAAGGAGGTTTTTTTTGTTTGTTTTTGCTAAGTAGTATTGCTGTACATGTGACACTTTTTAAATTCAATTTACCATCAATAGGCTGGACATGGTGGCTGATGCCTGTAATCCCAGTGCTGTGGGAGGCCAAGGCGGGTGGATCATGAGGTCAGGAGATCGAGACCATCCTGGACAACGTAATGAAACCCCGTATGTACTGGAAATACAAAAGTTAGCCAGGCTTGGTGGCATGCGCCTATAGTCCCAGCTACTCGGGTGGCTGAGGAAGGAGAATTGCTTGAACCTGGGAGGTGGAGATTGTAGTGAGCTGAGATCGTGCCACTGCACTCCAGCCTGGGCAACAGAGTGAGACGTCATCTCAAAAAAATAAAAAATTACCATGAATAGGCACGTAGGTTGATTCAGGTCCTTCCTCTTATGAATAGTGTAGTGATGAACCAACAAGTGCATGTGCTATTTTGGTAGAATAGTTTATTCTCTTTTGGGTATATACCCAGCGGTGAAATTGCTGGGTTGAATCACAGTTTAACTCTCAGTTATTTGGAAAATCTCCAAGCTGTTCTCCACAGTGGCTGAACTAATTTACATTCCTATTAACAGTGTATAAGTGGTTTTTTCCCTCTAAAACCCCATCAACATCTATTATCATTTTACTTTTTAACAAAAACCATTCTAACTGGTGTACAATGGTGTCTTATTGTGGTTTTTATTTACATTTCCTTGATGGTTAGTGATGATAAGCTTTTTTCATGTTATTTGGCCACTTGTATGTGTTCTTTTGAAGAGTGTCTGTTATTGCCCACTTTTTCATGGGGTAATTTTTTCCTTGTGAATTCTTTAAGTTTCTTATAGATTCTGAGTATTAGATTTTGTCAGGTTCATAGGTTATGAATATTTTTGCCATTCTGCTAGCTTTGGGGTAAGTTAGTTTTTATTTTTCTAGTTTCTCTAAGTGTGATGTTAAATTGTTAGTTTGAGATCATTCTAACTTCTTGATGCAGGTATTTAGCACTCTCAACTTTCCTCTTAACAGAGCTCTTCCTACAACCCAGACATTTTGTTATATTGTGTCTCTTCTATTTCAAAATCTTTTTAATTTTCTGCCTTAATTTTTTTGTTTATCCAAAATTCATTCAGGAGCAAGTTGTTTAATTTCAATATCATTCTGTGATTTTGTGAGATTTTCTTGGTATTGATTTTTATCTTTGTTCCATTGTGGCCTGTCATATTCTGTGAGCAGATGAGAAGAATTTACTTTCTTTAGATGATGTGTTGCATATACTATAAATGTCTATTAGTTTCAATTGATCAAGTGTCGAATCAAACTCCAGAATTTCTTTGTTAAGTTTCTGCCTAGATAATCTGTCAAACACTTAGTGGGGAGTTGCATTCCCCTACTATTATTGTGTGTCTACTTGAGGCTTATTGTAGTTCTAGCAGTAATTGTTGTATAACTCTATGTTCCCCAAAGTTGGGTGCATCTACATTTACGATAGTTAAGTCTTCTTGTTGAATTGAACCCTTTATCGTTACGCAATACCTTTCTTTGTTTTATTTTACTATTAATGATTTAAAGCTATTTTTTCTTAAAAGAGAAACAATTCCAGGTATGGTAGCTTGTGCCAGCACTTTCAGACTGAAGCAGTCGGATTGCCTGAGACCAGGAGTTTGAGACCAGCCGAGGCAACACAGCAACATACTGTTTGTACAAATTTTTTTAAAGAAACTATACAGGAGGGGTAATGTGCACAACTGTGGTCATATTTACTCAGGAGACATAGGTGGCATGACTGCTTGACTTCCGAAATTTGAGGTTACAGTGAGCTGTGATTCCACCAGTGTACTCTGTCCCAGGAGATAAAGTAAGATCCTCTGCATAAAATGAAAAAGTAAAGAAAAATAAAAAGATTTTAAGTTAAAAAAATAATTCCTAGATCTCCACTTCTTTAGGTTCACTTGAATATATATTTTTCTCCTTTGATTAGGTTATATTTCCTGGTTGCTTTTACTTACTGTAGTTTTGTTAAGGTTTTGATCAATTAAGAAACCACTACCTATTTTATCCTTTATGAAAGAGCTTTATACATGGGAAAATTGACAACATTCAGCCACAGTAGTCATACTGGGAGCTTCTCCAATCTGTTGTCAAAATGTGTCTTCTTTGGACTACTGTATGTATTTTCTTGTTAATAAGGTTTACCTCTGTTTCCTCTTAGGAGCCTTTAGTCTCTTCCCTTCGTCACTGTTGTAGGCACTACAGTCTCTGTTGTTGTAAGAAGCATTTATCTTTATTCTCAGTTGACCCAAGCTGTCATTTAAACTCAGTCTCTATTCTCATCAACACTAAATGTTAAAGGAAGCAATTTCCAGTCTTTAGATAACCCCGGTATAACTCAGTAAGTCAGAAGTTTGCATACGCATTTCACTCTTTTTTCTTTCCCAAAGGAGAATCATGGAATGGACAGATTTTTATCTAACTGCGCTGTTCTGTAGTGCACAAATGTGACCAAATTTTCTTCTAAATGTGGTTATGGTTGGCTTTTTTCTCATGTGGGGTGCTACAAACTCAACTGGCTTTGTTCGCCCAATTGTAGTTAAGTTCATATGTCAATGGAGAGAAACAGGATCTCAGGTTCTGCTTCAACTGTCATTGTCTTCTCAGCTGACCTCATTTTGTACATTAGATTTATAAAATATATTTACTTTAATCTCATCACCGAATTTTTAAAAAAATTATTATTTTTCAGCTCTTTTAGCAATATATCCAATCAAGACCCAGAGAAAACAGTACATAGAAGCTTCTTTTCAAAAAGTAATATTGGGAAGATATGGGAGCTCTGGCCTTGAACTTTTACACTTAGGAGAGTGGGAAATTGAAGGATAAGTGTAAACGGCACAAAGTATGCTATGATGAATATACCAGATACACAGCAATTACCTACAGCAAAAATGTCACTGCTAGAAGAGCTCAAAACCATAAAGTATTTTGGAAAAAGCATAATTAATGTTGATTCTTTTTTCTGAACTATATATTTATATAATTACATACCAATAACAATTTTTGAAACATATCATGTTTTTGAAACAAAATTTAGAAAATCGCAATAGTGGCCTAGGCCAGGAATATTTCTTCTAATGCTATCCCTCCCATAGTCCCCCACTTCCCGACAGGCTCCAGTGTGTGATGTTCCCCTTCCTGTGTCCGTGTGTTCTCTTTGTTTAACTCCCTATTATGAGTGAGAACATGCGATGTTAGCTTTTCTACTCTTGTGTTAGTTTGCTGAGAATGGTGGTTTCCAGCTTCATCCATGTCCCTGCAAAGGACATGAACTCATCCTTTTTATGACTGCATCGTATTCCATGATGTGGACATGCCAAGTTTTCTTTATTCAGTCTATCATTGATGGTCATTTGGTTTGTTTCAAAGTTTTTGCTCTTGTGAACAGTGCCATAATAAACATACGTATGCATGTATCTTTATAATAGAATAATTTATAATCCTTTGGGTATATACCCAGTAATGTGATTGCTGGGTCAAATGGTATTTCTCATTGTGGATCCTTGAGGAATCACCACACTGTCTTCCACACTGGTTGAACTAATTTACACTCTCACCAACAGTGTATAAGTCTTCCTATTTTTCCACATCCTTTGTTGTTTCCTGATTTTTTTAATGATCACCATTCTAACAGGTGTGGGATGGTTTCTCATTGTGTTTTTGATTTGCATGTGTCTAATAACCAGTGATGATGTCCTTTTCTTCATTTGTTTATTGGCTGCATAAATGTCTCCTTTTGAGAAGTGTCTGTTCAAATCCTTTGCCCATTTTCGATGTTGTTGTTTCTTTTTTTCTTGTAAATTTGTTTAAGTTCTTTGTAGATTCTACATATCAGCCCATTGTCAGACGGATAGATTGCAGAAATTTTCTCCCATTCTTTAGGTTGCCTGTTCACTCTGATATAGTTTTTTTTGTTGTGCAGAAGCTCTTTAGTTTAATTATATCTCGTTTGTCAATTTTGGCTTTTGTTGCCATTGTTTTTGGTGTTGTAGTCATGAAGTCTTTGCCCATGCCTATGTCCTGAATGGTACTGCCTTGGTTTTCTTCTGGGGTTTTTATGGTTTTAAGTCTTATGTTTAAGTCTTTAATCCATCTTCAGTTATGTTTTGTATAACGAGTAAGGAAGAAGTCCAGTTTCAGTTTTTTGCATATGGCTAGCTAGTTTTCCAACACCATTTATTAAATAGGGAATCCTTTCCCCATTACTTGTTTTTGTCAGGTTCATCAAAGATCAGATGATTCTAGATGTTGAGTGTTATTTCTGAGGCCTCTGTTCTGTTCCATTTGTCAATATATCTGTTTTGGTACGAGTACCATCCTGTCTTGGTTACTGTGGCCTTTTAGTATAGTTTGAAGACAGCTAGCATGATGCCTCCACCTTTGTTCTTTTTGCTTAGTATTGTCTTGTCTATGCAAGACCTTTTTTGATTCCATATGAAATTTGAAGTAGTTTTTTTTCTAATTCTGTGAAGAAAGTCAATGGGAGCTTGATGGGGATAGCAATGAATTTATAAATTACTTTGGGCAATATGGCCATTTTCATAATATTGATTCTTCCTATCCATGAGCATGGATTGTTTTCGTTTGTTTGTGTCCTCTTTCATTTCCTTGAGCAGTGGTTTGTAGTTCTCCTTGAAGTGGTCCTTTACATCATTTTTAAGTTGGATTCCTAGGTATTTTATTCCCTTTGTAGCAATTGTGAATGAGAGTTAACACATGATTTGGCTCTCTGTTTGCCTATTATTGCGTATAGGAATGCTTGTGATTTTTGAACATTGATTTTGTATCCTGAGACTTTGCTGAAGTTGCTTATCAGTTTAAGGAAATTTTGGGCTGAGATGGTAGGGTTTTCTAGATATACAATCATGTCATCTGCAAACAAAGACAATTTGACTTCTTCTCTTCCTATCTGAATACGCTTTATTTCTTTCTTTCTTTTGCTGATTGCCAGAACTTCCAATACTATAATGAATAGGAGTGGGGAGAAAGGGTGTTCTTGTCTTGTGCAGGTTTTCAAAGGGAATGCTTCCAGTTTTTGCCCATTCAGTATGATATTAGCTGTGCATTTGTCATAAATAACTCTTATTATGTTGAGATAGGTTCCATCAATACATAATTCATTGAGAGTTTTTACCATGAAGAGGTGTGGAATTTTATTGAAGGCCTTTTTTGCATCTATTGAGATAATCATGTGGTTTTTGTCATTAGTTCTGTTTATGTGATGGATTTTATTTATTGATTTGCATATGTTGAACCAGCTTTGTATCCCAGGGATTAAGCTGACTAGATCGTGGTGGATAAGCTTTTTGATGTGCTGCTGGATTCGGTTTGCCAGTATTTTATTGAGGATTTTCGCATCGATATTCATCAGGGATATGGGCCTGAAATTTTCTTTTTCTGGTGTGTCTTTGCCAGGTTTTGGTTTCAGGATGATGCTGGCCACATAAAATGAATTAGGGAGGAGTACCTCTTTTTCTATTGTTTGAAATAATTTCAGAAGGAATGGTACCAGCTCCTCTTTGTACCTTTGGTAGAATTCGGCTGTGAATCCGTCTGGTCCTGGACTTCTTTTTGTTGGTAGGCTACTAATTACTGCCTCAATTTTAGAACTTGTTATTGGCCTATTCAAGGATTCGACTTCCTACTGGTTTGCACTTGGGAGGGTATATGTGTCCAGGAATTTATCCATTTCATCTAGATTTTCTAGTTAATTTGCAAAGAGGTATTTATAATATTCTGTAATGATACTTTTTATTTCTGTGGGATCAACGGTTATATCCCCTTTATCATTTCCTATTGCATGTATTTGATTCTTTTCTTCCTTATTAGTCTGGCTAGAAGTTTATTTATTTTCTTGATCTTTTAAAAAAACCAGCTCCTGGATTCATTGATTTTTTGGACGGGCTTTTTGTGTCTCTATCTCCTTCAGTTCTGCTCTGATCTTAAATCTTGTCTTCTGCTAGTTTTTGAATTTGTTTGCTCTTGCTTCCCTAGTTTTTTTAATTGTGATGTTACGGTGTCGATTTTAGACATTTTTCTGCTTTCTCTTGTGGGGATTTAGTGCTGTAAATTTCCCTTTCAGACTACTTTAGCTGTGTCGTATTTTACTTTTTAAGCCCTCAATCTTCCTTTTTCATCGTGATAGTCTTTACTGTTTTATGTTTATGTAATGTAAAATTGACTACACAATTTTTACAAAGATTTTATGAAAATATTTTATTGAGAATGTACAAACCGTCAGTCAATTAGAGGAGAAGTTACACTGTCATAATAAATAGCCACAAAGCAAAACGCCAAAAGACATCCAAATCAGAATAAAACAAAACATTTTAACAAAAACAAAAAGAACAAACTGGCAACAAATATGTGAAGTTTATATTACAAAGATGCTCACTTATCCACTCTAAAGAGAGCTTTTAGAATTTGATTTAAAATACGGCAAAGACATTATCCCACACTTCACAGAAAAAATAAATTTAAGCAGCTGTTAACACATGAATGTATTATCAAGCTCAGATATAATCAAAATTAAATATTTGACAAGAGATTCTACAGTTTGGGAGAAATAGAAGTGTTTTTTTCTTTTCCCCAGGCCCACAAGTCTAGTTTCTTGTTCTTCTTCACTATAATGGGGTTTGTCATCAGCTCCCCAAAATATGGGAAGCACAGAGCAGGTGGTGGCTGAAGGTGGGGTATCCTGTGAAACCATATTTAAGATCAGAGCCCTTGGTCCATTGTGTTGTAATCAGCTGGCTCAGGAAAGAACACCTGGCTGTCCAGAGCTCTACACCTACTGCACTGGGTGTGAAAGGAGGCCTGAGAACCCATGGGTCCCAAACCCACCCCACTCCAAATTATCATCCAGTATTGAGAACTCTGACACCAAATTCTCACAGAGCATATGTTTATGCAGTTTTACATTTAATTTCTCATTACATTACAATTGGGAAACTGAGGCCCCAGAAGAGGCAGAGACTGGTCCAGATCTCAGGAGGTGGGCAGGCTCCAGAGCATTAGAGAGGGCTCCAGCTTCCTAGGCCTTGGCACCGTCCCACTTATCAGGTTTGTTTTCGAAATTAGAGTCTGTAGCTACACATTCAGGAGCACAGAAAATGAGCAGATTCAGGGTTCTGTTCACATGGGGTCCTCTCCATGTCAGTTTCAAGATAACAGGACTGGGGTTCTGCATCCAGCTCTGAGGGCAACTGGAAGTAAAATGAGCTATGCTCCACCTCAGCCTAATGTAGACAGTGCCTACAGGAAAGCTTGTTTTCTTCCTCATAAATAGGGGTGCCTGAAGTGGGTGACCTTGATGATTTCACATACTCATAAGTGTCTGCCAGCCTGGATTCTTGCTCTGAGACTGCAAAAATGCACCCACTCTGCAGATCCTTCAAATCAGAGGGAGGCATGGCCACTTGAGAGGCATCTTGGGTAGATGAAGATGAGACAGAGTTAAATGTGCCAGAGCACTGGACTCTGAGGCTGAGGTCCACGGAAAATCTCAGCTACTGTTGCGTTCTTAAGGTCCTCATTTGAAAGTGGTAGAAAATAATTTCACTGGATAAGGGGAGGATACCTCATGAGTAAATAGCACAACCAAAAAGGTGGAGGCAAAGAGAGGGCAAAACGGGATTCCTAGTTCACTCATTATACTTGGGGCCTTCAGATCCTGCTACTTTATCCCCTAGGACCTTGAAGAACCAGTGTCTTGAGGACAGAAAAATCAAGGTATCAGATTTGTTCAGTAGTGCTCCTGCTTGGGGCTGTAGGGTTAGTGATGGCCAGGAGGTGGTTACAGCCTACTGTGTTTCTGGTGCCCACTGAGCTTTGCTGGAGCAGCTGGAACAAGTAACAGTCACACACCTCATGTTGTTATCAGTGATGTCCACATTATCAGGTGGTCAAAAGGGGAAGGGATATTAGGGATCCCCCATATAATCACTTAGCCAGTCTTTTTTCCCTTGCGCTCACCATTTGCCAGCGACCCTGGTGGGTCCAACATGTGGTACAGAAAATTATTACTTCATGTCTGCACCCCCCAACCCAGGACCAAACAATCTGAGGACCGCTGGACAAAAGCACTAAAGCAAGTATATGTGAAAGAAAAGAGCAAGGACTATAATATAAAGTAGATTATTGAGAAGAAAACCTGGAAAATTATTGCATGGGAGGACCTCAGGCCTCACTGAGGTGACTTTTAATCCATGATGAGGATGACAGCAGGGAGGCATCTGCACAAGCATGTGTCAGGGAGAAGCCACCCTTAGTGAAAAAACTCATAGGTGTGAGTTTGGCAGAGGTAAAAAGGGACTAGTTTGGCTGCAGACAGCCTGAGAAAGAGATAAGCAGAGGGATGGAGAATCCTAGGGCCTGGGAGATGAGGTTAGATATCTGCTCCTTTCTGACAACATTGCCCTAAAAGTCAGCACTTTTCAACAACATATAATATCTCATAATGTGTGTGGACCAGAATCTGGACACAGCTCAGCTGGCTACCTCTGCCTTCAGGTCTTTTATGAGACTGGGGGCTGTGGTCTTAACTGAAGCTGGACTGGGAAAGCATGAGCCTTTAAGCTGACTCATGTGAAAATTGACAGGGTTTAGTGTGGCTGGAGAGCCTGACTTTCCTTCTCTCTACTCGTCTGAGCACCCTCTCACCCTTTGTTATGTGGGTCTCTACATGGAGCATCTCATAGCATTGGAGCTTGCTTCCTGTGTTTGAGGAATACAATAGACAGAATTAGACAAAAAGGTTTACACAAAAAGAGACAGAAAGATCGAGGGCGCAAACGAGAAAAACCCAGTAGGAGAAAAATTAGAGCTTTAAAAACATCTTGACAGGGTGCGGTGGCTCACACCTGTAATCCCAGCACTTTGGGATGCTGAGACGTGTGGATCGCCTGAGGTCAAGGGTTTGAAACCAACCTGGACAACATGGTGAAACCACCGTCTCTTCTAAAAATACAAAATGAGCTAGATGTGGTGGCGCATGCCTGTAATCCCAGCTACTTGGGAGACTGAGGCAGGAGAATCAATTGAACCTGGGAGGCAAAGGTTCCAATAAGCCGAGATCACACCACTGCACTCCAGCCTGGGATACAAGAGTGAAACTGTGTCTCAAAAAAAAAAAAAAAAAAAAAAAAAAAGAAAGAAAGAAAGAAAGAAAAAAAACTTGAGAGTTACTATAATTTTTCTTCTATATTTGTGTTAAAATTGTAACCCCGGGCGTAATGCTATAAGGAGGTAGAATGTAATTAAACCCTTAGGGTGGGACCCTCATAATACAGATTACTGGCTTTATACAAGAAACCGCAGAGGGCTCTCATCCTCCTGCAAAATGAGGGTAAAACCTGAAGTGTGCAGGCTGAAATTCAGAAGCCAGTCATCACCAGATCTCAACCATGCTGACACCCTGATCTCAAATTTGAACCTCTGGAGGTATGAGAAATTAAGTCCTGTTGTCTATATGCTGCCTATCTATGGTTCTTTGGCATAGCAGCCTGAACTAATACAAAAGTGATATCCTTTTCTGTGTTTCATTGGAGAGAAGCTGAATTTGTACCCCCTATACTGTTAAAAAAAAAGACTTAAAAAATGGATCTTCAGAATGAAAGATAGGAAACGGCTTGTTGAAACACTAAAAATTTAACTGCTATAAGTTTTTTAAACATTGGCTGAAATTGTTGGAACCAATATTGCCAACTGAAGTCCATGAAGCATCACTTTGCAGACTTTGGAGCCCAAATTTCCATTGTGTGCTTCATACTAACTCTCCCTGAATTTGTATGTGACCTGTGAGGAAACAAGAAGAGATGACTGTATATGTCTCATGACTTTCCATATTCCTACTTTCCTTCCAGCAATCCCCTACAGAACCCACCTATTAGGCCTTTTCTAATCACTGCCTTAAAGCCAGTATGACAAAACAAATTTGATTTGAACTCCTATCTCCTTGTTAGCCAACATACAAGATGATATTTTCCTCAAAACCGAAGGGCCATAGTACTGGCATCAGGAAGTATTCCATTTTATTCAATAAAAAACTGAGTCACTCAATACCTAGTACTGGGAGACTTTGTGAAGACTTCCTCTGTCATAGACGTGATAAGGCACATGGATATGATTCTAAATATAAAGAGAAAGCACTAGAAAGTTGAATTCCTGTATTAGATCATTCTCATACTGCAATGATGGAGTACCTGAGACTGGGTAACTTATAAAGTAAAGAAGTTTAATTGACTCACATTTCCACATAATTGTGGGGGCACCTCAGAAACCTTCCAATTACAGTGGCTGACAAGTGAAGTGAGTGAGAGCATGGGATGTACCAGATGCTTATGAAACTATCAGATCTCGTGAGAACTCACTATCACAAGAACAGCATGAGGAGAACCCGTCCCCATAATCCAATCATCTCCCCTCAGGTTTTCCCTTAACACCTAGGGGTTATAATACACAATGAGTTTTGGGTGGGGACGCACAGCTAAACTATATGAATGCCAGAGGACAGTATCTACATTTAATTTCAACTTCATACTGGAGCAGAATGAAAATGAGGCCCAGTGGAGAAGTGATATTTCCAAGATCACCCTGGCAGACACCAGGCCTGTTTGAGTTGTGGCCCATGCTACCTCCCACCTATTCTCCTAATGCTTCCATCTCTAAGTGTATGCATTATCTACAGGTGACACTACATCATTATTTTTATGTCTTATCTTATATACACCTAATACATTCCCTAGGAAGTAGATGTTAGCATCATCACCAGTGTGCATGTTAGGAGGCTGGGGAAGCCTTGAATACAGTGACTTTTACTGGGTCCCAGAGATGGTAAGAAAAACAAGGTTATGTTCCAGCTGTCTCTTCTATCCTGGAACCCAGGTTGCATTTAGGTCTTTCCAGGGAATTAAGGGGAAGTTGTGTTTGCATAATTGTGTACAAATAAAGAGTTGACATGGAAGAGGAGACTGAGCAATCAGTAGCATAGTGGGGCCTTTCGGTATGTCTTACAGAAACATGGGGCCCAGTAGATGGAACCTTGAAGAGTTTAACATACTTTCTTGGTGTCAGAACCCAACAGCAGTTAAGAAACCAGGAATCCACATTCTTGAGACAGCTCTGTATCCACCTCTGTTTGTGAGAGTTGCTCAAGAGAGTGAGATGCTCTTTCATTGTGCCCTGAAATTTCTGAGTTTCAGCCTTACAAAGGCTCAATGTAAAAGTCTTATCTGATAACACAGATGTCAACTGAGCCCTCATCACTGATGTCCCTGGCTTTTGGCCGGGTGCACCTACAAATAACACAGGGCAGCCCAGGACAGGCCCCTCCACGCCAGCCTCTCTTGTCAACTCATCTGGGCAGTCCCACACCACTTCTTAGTACCATGAGTTGGATGGGGAGCAAGA
Organism: Homo sapiens; assembly: GCF_000001405.40. Classification (NCBI taxonomy): domain Eukaryota; kingdom Metazoa; phylum Chordata; class Mammalia; order Primates; family Hominidae; genus Homo; species Homo sapiens. The sequence goes on from NC_000021.9 coordinate 7,457,531, forward strand.
GGGAGGGCACTCTTCTTGGACTGAAGTAGATTGTCGGGTGTTGGAACTCTTGTGTACCTGTCATGTTCATACCTAGGCCATAGCTGGCAGAATAAAAAGAAGAGGGTTGGAGAACGAGTCTGTGTACTCAGATGTGAATTCCAAGACTTTAACTTGTCCTCTGGTTTCCTTCCTTCATGGAGATTTATACAGATTCTCCTTATGTGCCTAATCTGAAGAGAAGAATTTCTTTTATTTTCTTTTTTCTTTTTTCCTTTCTTCTTTTCTTTTTTCCTTTCTTCTTTTCTCTTTTCTTTTCTTTCTCTTTCTTTCTTTCTTCTTTCTTTTTTTTTTCTTTCTCTTTCTTTCTTTCCATCTCTCTCTTTCTTTCTTTCCTTCTCTCTCTCTTTCTTTTTTATTTATCATGAAGTCTCACTCTGTTACCCAGGCTGGAGTGCAGAGAAAAGCAGAATTTCTAATGGAGGTGTCACATACGGTCAAAGCAAGGAAGAACACAGACTTTTCTTTGCGTGGTTTCTAGGCACATTTACAAAGCTGCATTCAGATTGATGAGGAGCTTCATCATTCAGTTTAATGTGGCCAACTCCTCCCTCTTTTTGGAAAAAGAGCAGGTGCACTAAACCAGCAAACACAGCCAGCACTGGGCTGTGCTGAGAGCAGCCACATAGGGGTCTCTACAGACAGAAAGCTGAGAAGACAGGGAAAGAAACAGGACCCAGACTCAAATATGAAAAATCTCTGGGCTTTGTCCTACGGCCTTCCCATGAGTAACTCATAGCCTTGTTCCAGTGGAATCTGGCCTTCACTAGTCTCAGTGGCAAGTTGGTTATGTGGAAAGTCTCTCTTCACACACTTGTGCGAATAACGGTAAAGAATTTTGTATAGTTTTCACTTTACATTAGGCCATGAGTATTTATGCCTGTGGCTGCAGTTTGTGTTAGTTTCCGGCCCCACGTATCTCCTGCAGCATGCAGCTTCAGTCCTATCGGACCCTCAAAACTTAAAAGCTAACACTATTACTAGGGAGGATTTCGCAGGAAAATGGAGAAAGGGTTACACACAAAAAAGGTTAAACTACTCTATGCATGTTTCTGCAATGTGTTATCTCAGGAACTCATTTCTGTAGCCCATCAGGGCAGGAGCTGGGCTCTCACCTGTTGATAATATTCCATAAGGGAGGTTCTTCCCCACAGTGTTTAGTCTCCCGACGCTGGTACAGCCTGACATGATGACATTCTACTTTCATGTCGGTCATGCTGCAGGGAAAATTCTGAGTGTTCTAATAGGCTGGAATCATTTGCTAGGGTGAACCCCATCTTTGGTTCTCACTTTTCTGTTATCTTGTAATTAGCTTTATTCTCAGCAAATCCATGTCTATTTTATTTATCTGTTTATTTACTTATTTTTATGTATGGAAAAACACTTTTTTTTATTTACTTATTTATTTAGAGACAGGTCTCCGTCTGTTACCCAAGCTGGAGTACTGTGGTAGAGTGCTGTGATCATGGCTCATTGCAGCTTCAAACTCTTGGGCTCAAATGATTCTCTCACCTCAGCCTCCTGTGCCACCATGCCCTGCTAGTTGATTTTAATTTTTTATAAAGAAGGAGACTCATTAGGCTGCCCAGGCTGGTCTCAAACTCCTGGGCCCAAGCAATTCTCTCATCTCAGCCTCCCAAAGCACTGGGATTAAAAACATGAGCCACTGTACTGAGCTGTGCCTACTTCAAAAGACTGAAAATAAAAAATCAATAAATCTTTGCCAAATTAAAAAACAAAACAATAGTTTCCAGGTCTTAGACAAAGACAATTCTGTGTCATGAAGAGTGGCAAAAGGCTTATTTAGCTGTTAAAATGATTTGCTTATATTTCAAAGAAGCAGAGAAAAAAAGATACATATAAAAGTTTTCCAGGCCAGGCACGGCTGTTCATGCCTGTAATCCCAACATTTGGGGAGGCCAAGGCAGGAGGATCTCTTGAAGCCAAATGTTTGAGTCCAGTACAGGCAACATGGTGAAATTCTGTCACCATAAAAAAATAAATAAAATAAATATGGCTGGACATGGTGGTTCACGCTTGTAATACCAGCACTTTGGGAGTCGGAGGCAGGTGGATAATGAGGTCAGGGGTTCGAGACCAGCCTGGCCAAAATGGTGAAACCCTTTCTCTCCTAAAAATAATAACAATAAAAAATTAGCCAGGCATGGTGCTGTGCGCCTGTAATGCCAGCTACTCAAAAGGTTGAAGCAAGAGAATTGCTTGAACTTGGGAGGCGGAGGTTGCATTGAGCTAAGATCATGCCACTACACTCTAGCCTGGCCCACAGAGCAAGACACTGTCTTGAAAAAATAAATAAATAAATAAATAAATAAATAAATAAATAAATAAATAAAAAGTTAGCTAGGCCTGGAGGTGCATGCCTATAGTCCTAGGTAATTAAGAGGTTGAGGCAGGAGGACTGCTCAAACCCAAGAAGTTAAGGTTATAGTGAGCTATGATTATGCCATTGCACTTCAGACTAAGCAAAAGAGTAAGATTCCATTTCAAAAAATTACTAAAAAAAGTTCTCTAAATTACATTGTTTAAGAAAAGGGAAAAGAAAAAATATCTTTTTTAATTTTCAAATGGGAGAATAGAGCCTCTCATTTCTAATATGTATTTCCTTCTGCAAAAACATGGTCTAGGCCCATGGTCTTGAACTACTGGACATCTGAATTTTAGTAGGTGCTGGATTCAGGCAACTGAGGGGTGGCTTGGACACACTAAGTGCACGTAAATAAAAGGTTTGAGGTGAACTAAAAGGTAAAAGAGGGGAAGGTGCTATTAAGAACCCACAGTTGGGAGACAGTACAGGGTTGGTGGAAGGACTGGTTCATGCTACAGATACTGACCCAGGTGAAACTTTACTCTGACTTATTTCTGTGTCCATGCAGGAAGACGAGATTATGATCAGGTGGCACAGAAACCTGGGATGGTGAAAAAACCAGGTTGCCCCTGCAGATTCGGTGTCTGAGGTAGAACGTATGCCAGGGGTCTTGTAGGCACATGTGTGGGTTTTTGGTGGGAAAGTCTATGAGGAAAGGTAGCATGGGCAACAATCTTGATGCCAAAGCCTTGTCCTGAGAGGGGCTTGGCCACATCAACATGCAGTGTGTATGTTCAGTGGGTGAAAAACCTGTGGTGGCCTCAGGTTGGCAGGAGGGTAGAAGGCATCTGTTCTCAGAACTTCTTCCCTCAGAGTCGTCGGTCCTTCTTACCATGGGAGAATGCCTGGAACCACAGGGCAGTGCATGGTGTAGCAGCCTGTGTGCAGAGCAGAGCCTACCTTCCCCGAGACACCTGGAGTCTCTCTCCAGCAGAGGCCCCCACATTGTCTTTCTCCTTACAACACTTTTGATCCTAAATGTGTAAAGTTCCCTGAAAACCCACTGCTTCTCCAACACCCATTTGTTGCCCCAAAATTTAATTCTGACACAACTTAGAGTTCACACAGATCCCAGAAATTCAGGGCTCAGTCCCACATCACCCCTCTCACTGTAGAGGAGAGTTACACATCCCTGAAGCCCATCTACACTTCTGAGCTACCTCCTATAAATCTGAGACTAGCATAAACCCCTTTTCAAGTTAAATAATTTGATAGAATTACTAAAAAGAAAACCTCAACAAATAACTGTAATTATATTTACTACTTTATTATAAAAATATAACTCAGAAACAGCCAAATGGAAGAGATGTCTAGGGCAAGGAACAGTTGTGGGTGAAGGCAATCCTGGAAATAGCTATATTTAAAGAAATTCCCCCATTCTTTGCATTCTCAAAGAACAGCTTAGTGAAGAGAAACGTGCTTCCCCTGATGACTTTGAGGATGCTCCCTGCTGTTTTTTTAACCTATCACAAAAATGGACACAGATTGCAAATTCCCATTTTTAAAAATGAACAACCATTCAGTAATTTAGTCTTCAGTGGTCCAAATAACATACTCTTAAAGAAACTTTGCTTGTTTCTCTTCTTCCAACCAGCCCCTGAACTTTGACTCACCCACAGCTTCAGCAAACCTACAACCCTTATTTATACATACCCCTCCTAAGAACAGGCTGAGTTCAAGGTGAAACATTATCTTATCTGGGATCGCATTTTGCTACCCTCCATCGTGTGCTTCCTTTCCAACCTTCTTTGTAAACTTGTTTTCTCCTCCCTATGAAATAAGGCCCTTTTCCACCTAACCTTAGAGATACTCAAAGATCTAATCATTTGTACTTTTTCTTTGTTGCAATACTTCTTAGGTAACTTCTTAGACCAAGTCTAGAAACAGTCTGAGGACAATAACAATTCCATTCTAAAAAGAATCTCCCAACATTTCTTCTATCTCAACCTCAACTGCATCTGCCTGTGAACTTCCAGCTTACCAAGGCTCTATATCTTCTGGCAGTGACAAAGGCTCCTTCCATGGTTGGTGTGAGTAGGCTTGGACACCTGCAGGGCAGACACCCAGGAATAATCAACTGGGCCTTCAGTGGTCCTCTTTTGCAGGGTCAAGGTGGGCCTTAGCTTTTAGTCAATGGTCTAAGACTTCTATTTACCAGTTAGTCATTCAGTTAGTTTTCAATTCAAAAAATACTTCATGTTTGAAGAATCCAGCAAAAATTATTCAAATCTAAGATATAAAAGAGAGGAAATTACAGCCGGGCATGGTGACTCATGCCTGTAATCCCTACATTTTGGGAGGCCTAGGCGGGCAGATGACCTGAGATCAGGAGTTTGAGACCAGCCTGACCAACATGAAGAAACCCCGTCTCTGCTAAAAATACAAAATTATCCAGGTGTGGTGTTGTATGCCTGTAATCCCAGCTACTCGGGAGGCCGAGGCAGGAGAATCGCTTGAACCCAGGAGTTGGAGGTTACAGTGAGCAGATGTCTTGCCATTGCACTCCAGCCTGGGCAAGAAGAGTGAAACTACATCTAAAAAATAACAGAATAAAATAAAATAAAAACATTATAAGGGGCTTATATCTTATAATTCATCAAGAAAAGCCAAAGTATCTATCCCTTTCAGAAAATAAACATGTAATTTAATTATGTTCAAAACAAATCATTTAGTAAACAATTAATCATATGTGAACACTTCCAGGAGGTGCAAAGTCCCAGCTCCTAAAACTTAACATTACCCTCAAACACCCAGATGGCAGCATATGGAATAGAGTTATTCACTTTCACAAGTTCTCTCTTTTGAAAAAAAGAATAACTTATGTGATAAATTTATGTAATTTGACAATTAATCTACCTCATGTGCTTGCAGATATGTATTCATTTCCTACCACCGTAGTGGAAGAGAGATTTTCCCTATCTTTACAACTGATAGCATTTCCAACAGTAAGCTGTGAGATTCTGCTTGAAATCACCTCTCAAACAAATAAAAAACAGACCTGGGAGACATGCTACACTCATTCTGCTGAGGAAATAGGTAAGTAACAATTTTTAACAAATGAAATACATTACTACTTAATTTTATTCAAAATTCACCAACTTAATGTGCTTTATAAATATTCTCATACCTTTGAAGCTCTACTGATAAAACATAATTTACAGTTAATGAAAAAGTGAAGTTAAAATAAATACAATCATATTTTCAAGGTGACAAAATTAGAAGGTGACAATGGTGATTGAAACACAGACATATCTGACCCAAGGGTCAAGTCAAGCCGTTCTATTACTTGGGATATTTTCCCTGCTTCTATCTGGTTCAGTGATGTGGGTCATGAGCGTCCTACCAGGAGCTGCTACGCTCTGCTCCACTGTGTCTGTGAGGTGCATTTTACTTTGCAGGTTTTTGCACTGCCTCACTAGGTTGGGTTTCTTTGTCCTTTGAAATATTTTCTCTCCCTTCACCAATCTGAGGACATTTTTTCCTCACTATTCAGCATCCAGTTGCCTGGCATGCAATGTGTCTCTAAGGAATGGAAACTAAGCGTTGGGGTAAGAAATTCTTAATGTCCTAAAGGGTTTGCTTTTAGCGCAAATGTATACGTGGAGATTCCTTCCAGGTATAGTGCATCCAACCACTCCAAAAAGAGGCTGCATTCCCATACCTTGGGCTGTTCCCTGAGAGGAGATGACACAAGGGATGTTATTTACTAGACACTTCAAGAGTCATGGCCAGTGTTGGTATCTTGGGGATTCTCAAACAGTTTTGAAACCCAAAACCAAGAAAATAACACAAGATGGCTGAGGATGTATTGCCCTGTGAGGTTTCTGAAATGAAACCTCAACCCAAAAACATTCTGATGGGGTGTCTGTGCCAAGGGAAGATTAAAGAAAGGGGCACAAATATTTTCTTTTCTTTTCTTTTCTTTTTTTTTACTGTGGATTGTCAGGGGATTATTATCTGCTTTCATGTCCTGTAAAATGTTTACAAATGAAAAATATTTTTTTAAGTGTCATCCACTGCTTTTTGAAAAAATGCAGAATTAAAATACTGTGTCTAAAATGTACAATAAAGAACAGTTGATAATGTTGTGAGTTACACAAGGTTAGTTAGTGTTGGTAAGTGTCAGGAAAGAACTGGAAATTTAAACTCTGACAGCAAGCCAGAGTTAGGCTGGGGTAACAGGGTGGTAGATTTGAGGCTCTTCTTGCCACACATTTGGAAAATGCATGAGAAAACTAATTCTCTTTTGGAGCATTAAAACAACTAAAAAACAGGCAATTGCGTTGAGGTGGCTCTAGTGTCCTGAGCTCTGAGTAGAGAGACAGGCAAAGGCATCCCTAGATCCAAAAAGCTGCCCATTCTTCTCCAGCTGTGCACCTGATTAGATAATTTCCACTCCAGCACCCATGATTGGATATAGTTCAATTCCCCACCAAGCCCCCTCAGGCCATGAGTGACATATGTGATTTGACACTGGATTGAATAAAGCAAGAATTATAAGTTTTTCCTGGATCCTTTTCTGGCAGGGCTTCCTTCATGCACTGGACACTGGCCCTGCCTGTAAAATACTTGCATTTTCATTTGTGTGTAAGATTATTTGTATTTATGAAAAATATATATGTGTTATTCATACATGGAAGCAATATAATGACAATTGTTTTAAAATTTCAGATGTTTTACTTTCCTGGCACATCCAGGTTTTAGAGCAGGCAGCCTGAGATTTCAAAAATGAGGCAATTCTCTAAGAAATAATATGTGAGGCACATGTGAATTTTAAATATTCTAGTAGCTACATTTTAATAAATACACCAGGCATGGTTGCCTGTTCGTGTAGGTTGAACTGTTTGGGAGACTGATGTGGGAGGATCATTTGAGGCAAGGAGTTTGAGACTAGCCCAGGCAGCATAGAGAAAGCCATCTCAACAACAACAACAACAAAATTGAAAAATTAGCCATGCCTGGTGTATGCCTTCAGTCCCAGCTACTCAGAAGGCTGGAGCTGGAGGATCACCTGAGCCTGGGAGGTCAAGGCTGCAGTGAGCCATGATCACACCACTGCACTCCAGCCTCACTGACAGAACAAAACTCTGACTCAAAAAACTGATCTCTGGAAAGGCATTTTCTTTTTCTGCAACGTAGCCAAATAGCTAAATTTGTATTGAAGCCATCCTTTAATTTTTAACAGGGCAAGAATATTTTCTAAGACCCCGAACTCCAGATATGCGATGGGGCAAATCCTGAAGCGTACATGGCTATCTCTCACAGCTAAAGCACCCCTCACCCCTATCCAGCGCTTCTTACCCCTGGCGCAAGAGAGTCACCTGCGGGGAGGAAAACTATCAAAATCCCTTAAACCCAAGTTGTAACCGCACAACTAAATCAGAATCCTTGGAGCTGGATCTGAAAAAAATACGGTTGAAAGTTGTGCAGGTGATTACAATGTGTAGGCAAGCCAGAAAACCATGGCTTTAACGAGCAGCTTTTGTTAGAAATGATTTCTCAAATGAATGTAAAAACGTTTGCTGCTGAATTGTGACCTTTCAATTTTACCTGCTTTTCCTGCAAAGTATATTTTGCAGACCCAGGCTGGCTTGTCCTTCTGTTCATGGTTCACCCAGTGCCGTGTGTGCTCAGTGCATCCTGTGCACGGGTCACTGTGCTGTGTGCGCTGGCCGGGGTGAGCATCATTCTTCGGGGAGAACCTTTCTGAAAACAAAGCTGCAATCCAAAAAGTTAAAACCATGCTACTTACTGTACTGAGGTAAAAATTAAAAGACCTAGGGGACTCTTCCAAAAGTTAAAACGTAAATAAATATCTTGGAACATTAATATACACCTGACGATGTCCTGAGTGAACACGCCCCACTTTAAAACAAAACAAAACATTACTATTATTCTAAAATATTAATTTAGGATTGTTATGCAAATATGTACTATTTAAATATTTATTGATGAATAACATGCATACAGCAATATAGGAACAAAATATTTATGGAATGCTTGATGAATTATTACTAAATAAATACACTTGTGTATGTAAGAATCAGATTTGCTCATGCCCTTGACACTTTCTCCTTCCCAAAGGTAACCAAGACCTTAAGAGCTAAGTGTAGATAAACTTTGTCATTTTCTACACGTGTTTTATTACAGAACATTAAAAACGTATACATAATACAAAAAAAGGATAACAGACCAGTCACCCAGATTTAACAGCTACTAGTCATGTGTCATTTTTGTTTCACCTATACTTCCAGCCATTTCCACCCCAATTTCATTATTTTTTAGCCTTTTTGGATAAAATGTATATTCATTGCAAGGTACAATGTGAACTGTGAATAGTAGAGAGATGGGGTTTCACCATGTTGACCATGCTAGTCTTGAACTCCTGTCCTCAGGTGATCCACCTGCTTCGGCTTCCCAAATTGCTGGGATTACAGGCATAAGCCAATATACTCAGCCTGAGAATTTTTTCATACTTCTAAGAAAGTACAAATCCATAGGGCACATGAGAACTGCAATGTCTATCTACAGTAAATACAGTTTGATAAATAAAATGAAAGGCAATTGACCTAAGGTGAAAAGAAAAACAAAAAACAATCAAAGCATGGGTACTATGTGTCATCTGTAAGAGCATTTGGTTAAGAATAACAAACAAACCAGTTTTATCGTTTTAATAGCCGAAATTGGCAAAATTTCTAGTTTTTCTTTCATAGGAATGCTCTTTGCAAGAAAAAATTTTCATATAGTGAGAGCAAAAATGGCAACCATTTGCAAGTAAATGTCTTATGAAATTAAGTAGCAGATATCAAGCTCATGACCTTCAGATAGTTACCCCTAACTCAATCACTTACATAGCAAGTGCAGATAATTTTCATAGCTCCCTATTAAAATTATATTTGAATGCCCTTACAAATTGTGACTGTTTTTAAATAAAGTTGACCAACTAAAATTTTGTATATGACATATGATAAATTCCCCTTCAAGTCACCTTACATTTACTTAATTTTATTAGGCAGTGTCTGTCTACCACCCAATAATACTTGACGATTCTCCCTCCATTTGCACAGGCATCATAGCTGGGAAACGGATTCACAAGACCCAGGCTGTTCCCTACATATGTTTCCTCCTCCGACATCAGTTCATCAGTCAATCAAGCCATGTGAGAGTGGAGGCCTTGTATTCCCTATTATTCTTGGGCACTCTACTCCAAGTAGGAAAAGGCCAGGAGGTCCTGTTAAAGGATGCACTCAGAGCCCGGGCTCCCTAACATATGAGAGTGCTAACCAGCAGGTGTAGACTTTTCAGGAGTGAAGAATGAGGCAGGCATTCCAAACCTGGACCTTCATCACCTTTTGTTTCATCTCAAGACAATTCTGAGGGACTGTTTTGGAGCGTGTCTGGAAGGTGAACCTTGAAGAAGAGTGTGGGCTTTGATGTGACTCAGTTGAGATCTTTCATGGGGAGGCAGGAATTCAATGCCCAGAATCTGGGCTGGTGTCTTTGAGGTCAGTAGGTTGCGTCTTTGTATCCAAGTCCATTGTTACTAGGTTGGAGGCTGGAGATTCTAAATGGCTTCCAGACCATCTCTCTGATTCTCTTTGGGAGATGGGGTCTGAAAGACAATGTCAGTAGTTTTGGGAAATTCTAGAAAGTGTGCTTGGAAACGTGGGAAGAGCTCTTGCCTAGTGCCTAAATGCTCCATTTGCAGCTCTAGCCAAGTAGATACTTGGTAGGTATAGAGCCGGGTTTGCGTTTATATCAGCAAAACCTATGTCAGAGTTGAAGAAGTAGTCAGGAAAAAGCGTCTTGGTCGCAGGCCGGGGAACATCTTAAAAGCAAACTTCTAGCCTGCTGACTCTTGGCAATGAGTGTTGGATCCTGGCTAAAGTGCCTTGAATGCAGCATGAGGCCAATCCATGAATCCAACTTCTCATGGAGAAATGTTAATATTTTTTCAGTTTGAATCAATCAGGGTGAAACTACCATGCTATTGGTTTGCTTACTTTTTATTATTTCATGTAAAATCTAAGACAAAATACATTAAATGCTTATTGACATATGTATTTATTCTTCACCAGGCTGATAATATCTGCCTAATTTTAAACTTTCTTCCATTTTGTAGGTTTCAACTTATTCTATTGTAAGATACTGTTAAATCTAATAGAGGCATTGTCACTTTTACGTATAATTTTATTTTATTTCATATATTTCCTATTGGCTTTTTACATTTAAATTATGGAGCACTTCATCATATAAAAAACTTCAATTATATTTAAACAGTAAGTCTTTGGATTTTTTTGCCTTGTAATTTCCATATTACATAATAATGAGATAAACATTAATGTTTTCAGGGTACTTTAAATTTTAGATAATTACTCATTGTATTCATGTGAAATTTGTTTTTACTGCATGTGTGGGTTGGAGGACTGTTTTCACTTCTGATTCATCTTTACTCTTATCTCATCAGAGCTCATACCTCTTGTAGTTGGGGGATTGCAGTTTATAATTCCAATAAATGGGGCAAATTCAATAATAACATAATACAAATGAGTTTGAATGCAGGACAGGTCTTCAAAGCATACACAACATGGGCCTACATATGTACAACAATAATAATTTATAAGTTACTGTTTGGATGGAAAGTAAAAGTACAGAAAATTTGTTAAAGGAAATTAAAATGGAGATCATGTCTCAATAATCTCTGAGCAGACAAAATTAGTTAGGTCTCATAAGTGATCTCAACCTCGCTTGATTTGCAAATACAAACAAAACTTAAATTATTTCTTGTAGCTGCATATTGAAAAAAGAGAAATGAAGCTCAACCAGTCAGAAGTAGCCAACAACCTTATATAAATAGAAACTGTCCAACAAGGTAAACAGACAAACAAAAAACAATAAAAAAAGTTGTGCTACCACCAAATGATTTCTTTGTTTCTACATTTTTCAAATAAATACTTGCTTCTTACACTGTCAATGAAGCACTCAATATCTTTCCGTCTGATATTTTATAATTTATCAATTGCTCTTACTCAAATAAACACTTTGCAATTTCATTGTGTCTCAAATTACTTTTTAGCAGAATAAACTAGGAATAAATATTACAAAAATATCTACGGAATATGGAAAAAACATAGAAAGTTTATGAAATATATGAATGTAGACATAAGCAAATAGACAATTTGTATCATATTCTTAGGCAGAAAAACTCAATATTATCAACATCAATTGTCCTTATAGTTATTTATAAATTCAATTTTGTTCCTATACTGATACCATTAAATATTGCAAGTACACGTTACTATAAAATGTTATATAGATGAAAACACAAACAAGAATAGACAAGAAAACTCTGAAAAAAAAAAAAACCACTGGCAAGCCCTGTGTAAAATCTTGATTGATTAAAAAACTCATGGATCACTGAAACTAAAAATTCAGAAATAAACCAAAGTGTCTAAGAAAGTGTCATAGTGCATCTTGGCTGCTATACCAAAATACCTTAGACTGGGTAAAGGATAAATAAGAGAAATGTATTTTTCACAGTTATGGAGTCTGGAAAGTGCAAGATCAAGGCAGCAGCAAATTTCGTATATGGTGAGAGCCCTATTCCCCATAGATGGTACCATCTCGCACATGGGACAAGGGCATTCCCTTCAACTTCCTTTGAAAGAGCACTGATTCCATTCATGAAGATGAAGAACTCTTGGCTTCACCACTTTCCCAAAGGCCTCACGCCTAAAATTATACACATGAATTTGAAAGGGGACATAAACATTCAGGCCATAGCAATAAAAACTACATGGGTGATGGCATCATTTATACATGAGGTGTAAAAATGTGATGTTCTTATCACAAAGGAAATAAATGATTTATTCTTCATGGCATATATCAAAATGAAGGTCCAATGAAAATATTTTTTATGAAGATAAATCTATATGGCAAAAAATTAAGTATTGATAAGTTTAACCCTACAGGTTGCATCAGGATTTTCAAGGTTTCCAGGGATGAGCAAGGCCCTGGAGTTTCCTCCTGTGACATTTTCCTGAAAGTTGCTCATGCTGTTATTCAATTTGAAAGTAGATAATATTGTTTGTTTCTCTTCCAATATTTACTAAATTCAAAATAATATAGGGCTCTTTACTCATAATTCTCAAACAATCATTCAGTCAGTGGGGCTCTGCTGAGGAAGAGCACAGACACATCCACACAAGTATAATGTTCCTCAAATAGAGGACTTCTCCTTGTGCTGGAGCCACCTATGTTGCACTCGATCAGAGGCTTTCCCAGGATAGCATTTCTCTGCAGCCCTACCTCAGTCTTAACCCTGAAAATCCCACTCAGAAGGCGACGGATGAACACCCACCCTAGCATTCTAATCTAATGGATCCTCTCTTAACAATCCCTTCCAGGGATCTGGGATCTTTCCTGGATTCGTCGGCCACACACACCTAGGCTCAAAAATTTGGACAGAAACTTTGATCCTCATTGGCCCTCCTGCCCTGTCCTACCAGCTTCTCTAGAAGTATGCTTCTCTAATTGCTCCTTAGAGACACTATCTAAGGGTATCAACCTGTGCCAATATAATTGATCTCATAAAGTGAGAAGGGAAATAGGCAAGAGTCCAGCTAGCCTAGAAGCAGTGTCTAGGGTTCCTTACCTGATTTATGTCTCTGATTTACCTAAATATTGACAAATACAGATTCACCTCTAGGCAGTAGAAAAACAGAAGGAGAAATCCCAGTTCGTAGAGGAAGAAGAAAATGCAATCAATGCTGTCTAGAGTCCCGCTTAAGCTCAGCCACAGGGTACTAAGTCTCTTCAGGAAAAAGCAATTGTTGTCCATCATCTGAAAAACTGTGGCCTGGAACCATGGGCACCGAGAGTGCACACTGCCCACTAGAGTTCCATGCCTACATCACGGAGAGATAGAATAGTCTCAAAGGATTCTTAAGAGTAATGTGGGGACCAAAAGGAGATGAATCCACAGCCTCTGCCTTACCGTCTGATCTAACTAATAGTATTTCCAGACCTTTCTGTGGGCTGCACCAGGGGTTGTTCAGAAAGAAAAAAAGTTGTTAATGTCCCACCGTTTCCCGTAGCTTCCGAGGTCTGTGTTGTTCATACCCCAGGTTCCAGGTTGTTCTCCCACTACTTCCACAGAATCAGTGTGTCTCATTCCGGTACCTATAATCTCATCTTTATTCTAGTCGCCCTCTACTTTTTTCTAGACACTTTATCTACTAGAGCCAGGTAAAATAGAGACAAGAATATTTACATAAAACTTAGCTGGAACTAAGTTGGAGTCCCATAACTGCTACTAGGCTGAGATGCAACTCAGAGGATACAAAAGCCAGGCTTGCCTAGAATTGCAGTTATGGGAAAGAAAGTCACATTTCACCCAGGAATTATTAGCACGAAATTCCAAGTTTGTGAAATAGATTCCTAGATGATTCCTAGATCCCCCAAACATTTCATCCTTATCTTGGAGGCAATCAGGAAGAGAAAATAAACCATACCTAATCAACAAATTATCTAACCAGCATGTGTGGAAAAGGAGGGAACATCATAGAGTTGGCTTGTTTTAGTACGTGTGGTGAAAAATGCCGCGAAGTCAGAGCTCAATTGGTCTCAAAAGCCTAAAAGATGGCACAGATTAGCTTCACGGGACACATGGTATGGATGGTGTCGGCATACTGTTATGCTGAAGATGTCAAGAGTGGTGACTGATATCTCAAGAAGTGGGCCAAAAGTCCACTTCTGGTTACTCTGCTTGGTATGGTCTAGGAATTCTTCAACCATGAGACAAATAGGTCAACTTTCACCAGCAACCCCAAGTCTGGTTTGCAGTATTAGACTCTGCGTTAGACACAGATTTAGGTTCAATCTGCAGCTTGATTGTTGTCACTCTCTAGAAAACAAACCCTTACCATGGACTTCTAGATGAGTGATCCAGTTAGATCAGCATCTGAGATTGTCTCCAGTTTGCAGCCCAAAAGATATTCAGACAGTCTACAGTTTCCATTGTAGATAACCAAACAGATAGAATATGTGCCATTATCCCAAACCCTGAGTTCTGACCTTTGAGAGGAGCAACCACTCATGTCAGGTTCTGTATGGCTGGCACAGGTTAAACAGCCACAGCAGCCCAGTGGACATCATGAGGTTTCACCTTCCCTGACTCATCTATGAACCAGGACCAGTCATATAGGAAACACTCAGTAAATTGGGGGCCCCACAGAGACAGCATCTTTGCTTCAGAGGATAGAAGGAGGCATAAAATTTCAACCAGCTGGGGATGCTCTAGCCCTCTATGGGTGAAACTGAGTTTGTCAGGAGTTCTGCAGCAAGCTCTTAGCTGACTTTCAAATCAGTGTAACCAGTAGTGTGTCACTGAGTCCAAAAGCCCAAAGAACACCTCTGGGAGGAGGCTAGTCCTTTACTAGAGGCTCCAAATGCCAAAATCAAGATTTTCTTGACCTCAGGATGAATTGATCAATGCAAATCTCCCCAAATATTTTCACTAAACCTTAATTGGAAAGTAAGACTCCAGATTTTTTAACTCTCACTAAACATAAATATCTGATTTTTTCACCTGAGATCTATGTATGTGTGTTGGAGCATGCCTTTACCAATCAGCATAAAGTTACATCTCTCCTTGAGCCTCTACTTTCTACTTGTGCAGAGTTTAAAATGCAGAGGTGAGAGCTTAGGGTTTTCTGGGTCTTTTGCTAAGCATGTACCTGACCTTGAGCATCCCCAATTCCCCATTTCCTTCTTGATCCCAAAGACCGTTATCACAGTCTTAATTCCCAGCAGCTTTTCCTCCTAGAGCTTTTTGACATGATTATTCTTAGACCCAACTGATATCCTTCGTTCCTGGTAGACTGCGTAGCTCATTTCCATTTAAATGCTTTTAGAAATATTAAACTATGGATTTAAGATTTATCTGCTTTTTAAATTAAGTAATGCTGCTCTTAGCCT
This sequence comes from Homo sapiens, assembly GCF_000001405.40. Lineage (NCBI taxonomy): Eukaryota > Metazoa > Chordata > Mammalia > Primates > Hominidae > Homo > Homo sapiens. The sequence goes on from NC_000021.9 coordinate 7,472,934, forward strand.
TCCACAGGACTTGAGGGTTATAAAAAAAAAGGAAGAAAATAATTATTTTATACCAATAGTATGAAAAAGAGACTGGGAATGACTATATTAATAGCAGACAAAATAGACTTAAAAACTTAAAAGAGACAATAAGACATTATATAGTCATAGATTGTCCATTTGGCAGGAAGATAGAAATAGTTTAAACCCATACCTAATAATAAAACATTGAGATATAGAAAGCATAACTTGACAGAATTAAAGGGGCAAAAAGGCAGTTCTAAAATAATAGTTGAAGATGTTAATACTCCACTCTGAGTAATGAATAGAAAAATGAGATAGATGATAAATTAGGAAATAGAGTTCTTGAATAACTCAATGAACCAAATTGATCTAACAGATATATACAATATACTCCATCCAACAAAAGAGACTACACACTCTTCTCAAATGCACATGGGGATTTCCCCACGATGGGCTGTGTAGTAGATCTCAAATTAAATCAATAACAGAAGAAACGTTAGAAAGTTTACAAAACTGTATAAATTAAACAACATACCCTTAAACAACAAATAAGTAAAGGAAGAAATCACAGAGGAAGTTGGAACATACTTACAGAGGAAGAAAAATGAAAACAAAACACATCAAAAGTTAAGGGAAACAGCAAAAAGAGTGCTAAGATGTAAAGTTTGCAGCTAAAATGCATTTAAAAAGAACAAAGATTTCAAATAAATAATAACTTTATCACCTAGTAAATTAGAAAAATAACACCAAATTAGATGCAAAGCAAAGAGAAAGAAGAAAATATTAAAGCTTTTAGCAGAGATAAATGCAATGGAGATTATACAAACCACAGAATTCCAAAAAACCAAAAGTTCATTCTCACTTCTTCAAAAAATTAACAATTGGCAAACTTTCAGCTACACACACAAAAAATTAACAGCATATTCACATACTAAAATGAGAAATGAAAGTGGGACATTACTACTAATTCAAAGAATTAAAATGTTTAAAAAACTGTACTGTGAACTATGATAGGATGATAAATTGGAAAACGTAGATAAAGTGGGCAGATTCCTAGGTATACAAGACTTGATTACAAAGAAATACAAAATCTGAATAGATACAAAACTACTAAGGAAATGGAATCAGTAATTAAAAGCCTCTTCATAAAGAAAAGCCCTTATTTTGTTGGCTTCACTAGTGATTTAGATCAAGCATTTATAGAACAAAAATCCTTTCCAAAGTCTACCAAAAGCCTGAAGAGAGCAGTTCCAAACTTATTCCATGAAGCCACCATTAGCTCATACCGAAGCCAGACAAAGATACTACAAAAACCCATAGACTAATATCCCTTATGAACACGGATGCAAAACTAGTCAGCAACATCCTAGCTAACTACATTCAGCAGCATACTAGCAAGATTACAACCCATGACCAAGGGGAGTTTATTATTGGAATGAAAGGAAGTTTTAGCATATGGGTGGTTTCAGTGCAGTGGTGTTTACAAATAATTGATCACAACCAGTATAGATTTCTTTATTCTTTTTCCAGTCTCACTGGTTCACTTAGCTAGCCTTTCTTAACAAAAGTTTAAGCATATGAAAATTAATCAATGCATATGCCACATTGACAAACTTTTTAAAAAGTATTCTCTCATTAATACAGATAACGTATTTTACAAAATTCAAAATATTTTATAATAAAAACAATAAATTAGGAATAAAAGGAAACCAGCTTTGTAAAATTCACATATAAAAACCCACAGCAAACAACATATTCCAGAGGAAAAGATCAAAAGTGTTTCCTCTAAGCTCCGAAGACAGAGTGAATATCTGCTCTTGCTAGCCACTTTTATTCAACACTGTATTAGAAGTTTCATTCAGAGAAATTAAAAAAGACAATGAAATAAACTGCATCAAAATGTGTACAGAAAATATATTCTTATATGTAGAAAATCTTTAAGATTCCACCAAAAAATATTACAACTAATAAATTCAGCTGAATAGTAGCATACAAAATCAACATACAAAAACAAACTGCATTTTATGTAGTAACATGAATAATCTGAGAAGAAAACTCTGAAAACAATTCAATTTACAATAGTATCAAAAGAATAAAGTAGTTAGGAAGTAACGAAGAAGTAAAATGCCAATTACTCTTGTGTAGATATTAAAAAATCAATTTTTAAGTTTATGGGGAATCTCAAAGATCTTTAAATTGCAAAAATAATTTTGAAAAAAATACCAAAGTTAGACAAGTCACACTTAATGATTTCAAGACTTACTACAAAATTCCAAAATAGCATGCTACAAAGAGACTAATGGAGTAATATAGAAGGCCCATATAAATAAACCCTCATATATAAGGTCAAATGATTTTTATGGGAAATGAACTGCCTTTACAACAATTAGTGCTGGGGAAATTGGGTGCCCACATGTAAAAGAGTGAAGCTGGGCCCTTAACTTCTACTATAAGAAAAAATTAACTAACTGGATCAAAGACCTAAATGTAAGAGCTAAAACTACAAAATTCTTAGTATAAAATGTAGGTAAAACACGTCATAAGGCTGGATTTCGCAGTGATTTCTTTTAACAGGACACCAAAAATGCAAGAAACAAAAGAAAAATAGATAAAGAGGACTCTATCCAGAATATACAAAGAACAATTCAGCAATAATAAACTACTTGTTTAAAATATGGGCAAAATACTTAAACAGATATTTCTCTAAAAATTATGTGAAGTGGCTTATAAGCCCATGAAAAGGTACTCAACAAAACCTTTTCATTTTCATTAGTAAAATGAAAATCTAACCCCAAATGACATATCACTTAATGCACATCAGCATAACTAGTACAAAAAGAAAAAAAAAACAGAAAATCACAAGTGTTGGTGAGGAAGTGGAGCAGTTAGAACCCTTGTACACTTGGTGGAAATGTAAAATGCTGCAGCTGCTATAAAACAACACCATAGTAACGAAATAATTTACACTCAAAATCACCGTATGATCCAGCAATTTCACATCTTGGTATGTTGCAAAAGATGTGAAAGCGAAGACACAAAATAATACACGTACACCTAAGCTCATAGCAGCATGACTCACATCACTCAAAAGGTTTTTGAATTACCTGTGTTGTTTGAATTATCATCAATGAATAAATAGATAAAATGTGATTTATACATACAGTGGGATATTATTCAGTTATGAAAAATAAGGAAATTCTGACACATGGTACGTCATGCATGAACCTTAAGGACATTGTGCAAAGTGACATGAGCCAGTCATAAAAGGACAAATACTGTATCATTCCACTTATGAGATACTTAGAGTAGTTAAATTCTGGAAACCCACGTAGAAGAGTGGTTCCTAGGAGCTGGAGGGGGAGTAACAGGGAGCTGTTATTTAATGTGTATTGAATTTTGGTTTGGAAGTTGAAAAAAGATCCTTATGAATGGGAATAATAGTTGCAAAACAATGTGAGTGTAGTTAATTTCTCTGAGCTGAACACTTAAAATAGTTAAGATGGTTAATTTTATGTATACTTTGCCAAAATGTAAAAAATATTTTTTAAATAAACAAACTATAGCTATCTGCAATAGCATGAATTAATATCATAAATATAAAGTTGCCTAGAAGAAAGTAGATGTAAAAGTATACATATTATATAATTTCACTTATATAAAATCCAGAAAGTGAACACAACTGAGGTTCTGGTTTCCAGTAATAATGAAGTAGACTAGTTCGTTGAATAACTATTTCACAGATAACAATAATAAAGCTTAATAAAATACTATATTTTGCTATATAGAAAGGCACACTGTTTAGAAGACTGAATGAAGATTTTATCTATGCCACTGTGGAAGAGATAAGGATTGGGGTTTGAATCTATTCAAATTAACTCCCTCTTAAAATAATAATTTTCAAAGAAATACAACAGAATCCAGAGTCCCTGTAGTTCCTATCACACAATTTAAAAATTCATGAGATGTGTGAAGAAGCATGAAAGTGTAATCGATTCACAAGATAAAAAGCAGACAATAGAACCTATTCTCAAGATGTGCAAGATGCTGTAATCAGTAGATAAGATTTGAAAGAAGCTATGGTAAGTACGTTCATGGGGGTAAAAGAAAACAGTCTCATGACAAGTGAACAGAAGCGTAACTGTACATTTCATGCGCGTCCGTGTGAAGAGACCACCAAACAGGCTGTGTGTGAGCAACATGGCTGTTTATTTCACCTGGGTGCACGCGGGCTGCGTCCGAAAAGAGAGTCAGCGAAGGGAGATAAGGGTGGAGCCGTTTTATAGGATTTGGGTAGGTAAAGGAAAATTACAGTCAAAGGGGGTTTGTTCTCTGGCGGGCAGGAGTGGGGGTCGCAAGATGCTCAGTGGGGGTGCTTTTTGAGCCAGGATGAGCCAGGAAAAGGACTCTCACAAGATAATGTCATCAGTTAAGGCAAGGACCGGCCATTTACACTTCTTTTATGGTGGAATGTCATCAGTTAAGGTGGGGCAGGGCATATTCACTTATTTTGTGATTCTTCAGTTACTTCAGGCCATCTGGGCGTATACGTGCAAGTCACGGGGGATGCGATGGCTTGGCTTGGTCTCAGAGGCCTGACATACACTCCCAGTCTTTTGGTCACAGGGCTGTGGGACTGAGGAGGGAAATTAAAGAAAAATAAAATTAAAAAGAAAGAGAAATAAATTTTCTTGTATTGGGCTGACTTGTCCCAGAGGCTTCAACAGGCACAGCCCAGAACCAGGAATAGTCTTGATAATATTATCTAATGTGCTCTGGAGGCTCTCCCAACGCTCCCCCAACATCGGGAAAAGAAAAACAAATTTCCTTTTTTTACGGAATGAGTTTATAGATTCTTGTTCTCTGTAACTAGTGACTTCAAGTATTCTGTTTTATCTAAGAAGTACAATGTAAGTCATGAGAAGCCTGAGTAGGCTGAACTACAGCTGTTTGGGCACCATAGTGAGGGTTATAGGATAAGCCCATGCCCAGGGAAACCTAGAAAATGGACATGTGGGTTGCTTGGCAACGGTCATGTGCAATCCTGTCTGTCCTGCCTCTGTATCCCTGCTTTCACGCCACTGTAAACTTGCTTCAAGCTAGCCCACCACCTTTTGTGAAATGTGCATAAAAGTCAGGTTCTGTCTTTGTTCCGGGCCCAGTCTTTTTGATGTGAGTTAGCTTGTCCTCAGTTTCATGGGGGTCCGTGTGAAGAGACCACCAAACAGGCTTCGTGTAAGCAATAAAAGCTTTTAATCACCTGGGTGCAGGCAGGCTGAGTCCGAAAAGAGAGTCAGCAAACGTAGATAGGGATGGGGCCATTTTATAGGATTTGGGTAGGTAAAGGAAAAAGGGGGATTGTTCTCTGGCGGGCAGGAGTGGGGGGGTCACAAGGTACTCAGTCGGGGAGCTTTTGAGCCAGGATGAGCCAGGAGAAGGAATTTCACAAGACAATGTCATCAGTTAAGGCAGGAACAGGCCATTTTCACTTCTTTTGTGGTGGAATGTCATCAGTTAAAACAAGAACCGGCCATCTGGATGTGTACGTGCAGGTCACAGAAGGTACGATGGCTTAGCTTAGGCTCAGAGGCCTGACACTGAGTGCACTCAATAAAAATTCTCCTGTTTCAACCCGGGGTCTCTCTCATCCTCCTGAATCCCGCAACGGGAGAATTCCAGCATGCACCAGGTTCACGGGACAGTGCGCGGTCACTGAAAGAAGAGTGGGGCGGGGAGGGTGGTGTGCGGCTGTGAGCACCTCTTGTGCTTGCTGGGAGATGTAGTCTTATAAAGACTCCCAGCCCTTTGGTCACAGGGCTGCAGCACCCCAATTCCAGCATACACCGGAATCAGAGACAGTGCGCGCCGGCAGAGGAAGAGGTAGAGCTGTGCGTGACTCGCTGGGCTTGATGGAAAATGTAATCTCATGAACACTCCTTAATGAACAGTGCGCCTCACTGGAGGAAAAGGCGGGGCTGTGCAGGCCTTGCTTTGCTTGCTGAGAGATGCTGTCTCATAAACACTCCCAGCCCTTTGGTCACAGGGCTGCAGGACTACATTCCCATCATGCACCGGGATCAGGGATAGTGCATGTGCCTGGGTGAAGAGACACAGTTTTGCGCGCCTCCTTTGGCTTCCTGGGAGATGTAGTTTCATAAAGACACCCAGACTTTTCATTACAGGGCAGCAGGACTACAATCCCAGTATGCACCAAGATCAAGGATAGTGCGCGTAACTGCAGAATGAGGCGGGATTGTGCACGCCTCGCTGGACTTGGTGGGATATGTATTCTCATAAACATACCCAACCCTTTGGTCATAGGGCGGGAAGACTACAATCCCAGCATGCACCTGGCTAAGAGACAGTGCCTGTCACTGGAGGAAGAGGCGGAAGACTACAATCCCAGCCAGCACCGGGCTCAGGGAAATTGTGCGTCAGTGGAGGAAGAGGCGGGGTTGTGTGCTACTCGCCAGGCTTGCTGGGAGTTGTATTCTCATAAAACCTCCCAGCCCTTTCATCACAGGCCTGAAGGACTACACTTCCAGCCCCAGCATGCACTGGGCTCAGGGACAGCGCGCGTCACTGGAGGAAGAGGGAGGGCTTTGCGCTTCTAGCTGTGATTTTTTGGGAGATGTAGTCTCATTAACGCTCCCAGCCCTTTGGTCACAGAGATCCAGGACTGCAATCCCAACATGCACCCAGCTCAGGGATAGTGCGCTAATCACTGCAGGAAGAGGCAGGGCTGTGTGCACCTCCTGGGCGTACTGGGAGATGTATTCTCATAAACACTCCCATCCCTTTGGTCATAAGGCTGCAGGACTACAATCCTAGCATGCACCCAGCTCAGTGACAGTGCGCTAGTCTAAGGAGAAAGAGGCAGGGCAGTGTGCGCCTTGCTGGGCTTCCTGGGAGATGTAGTCCCATGGCCTCTCCCTGCCCTATGGTCACAGTGCTATAAGACTACAATCCCAGCATGCACGGGGCTCAGGGAGAGTCCACATCACTGCAGAAAGAGGGGCAGGTTGTGCGCACCTCGCTGCGTTTGCTGGGAGATGTTGTTTCATAAAGACTCTCAGACCTTTTGTCACAGGGCTACAGGACTACAATCCCAGGATGCATCGGGATCAAAGCAGTATGCGACACGGGGAAAAGATGCGGAGCTGTGTGCGTCTCCCTAGGTCTTCTGGGAGATGTGGTCTCTTGGCCCTTTGGTCACAGGGCTGCAGGACTACAATGCCAGCATGCAGCGGGTTCATGGACAGTGTGTATCACTGGAGGAAGACGTGGAGCTGTGCGTGCCTCGCTGGGCTTGCAGGGAGATGCAGTCTCATAACTACCCCAGTCGTTTGGTCGCAGGGCTGCAGCAGTACAATTTCAGCATATCTCTGGCTCAGGGAGAGTGCACTAGTCACTGGAGGAAGAGGTAGGTCTGTGCGCACCTCTCTGGGCTTGCTGGGAGAGGTAGTCTCATAAACACTACCAGCCCTTTCATCACATCGCTGTAGGACTACAATTCCAGCATGCACGGGGCGCCGGGGCAGTCCGCCTCACTGGAGGAAGAGAAAGGCGTGTGAGCGCCTTGCTGGGCTTTCTGGGAGATGTTGTCTCTTTATTTCTCCCAGCCCTTTGGTCACAGGGCTTCAGGACTACAATCCCAGCATGCATCCTGCTCAGGGACAACGCGCGTCACTGTAGGAAGAGGTGGACCTGTGCTGTTCTCGCTATGCTTTTTGGGATACGTATTCTCGTAAACACTCCCAGCCCTTTGGTCACTGGGCTGCATCACTACAATCCCAGCATACATCGGGATCAGGGAGAGTGCGCTAATCAGTGGAGAAAGGGGCGAGGCTCTGCACACCTCGCTGGTCTTGCTGGGAGATGCAGTCTCATAAACACTCCCAGCCCTTTGGTCACTGGGCTGCAGCGCTACAATCCTAGCATGGACCGGGCGCAGGGAATGTGCGCGTCACTGGAGGAAGAGGCAGGGTTGTGCACGCCTCTCTGGGCTTGGTGGGAGTTGCAGTCTCATAAACACTCCCAGACCTCTCATCACCGGGCTGCAGGACTACAATCCCAGCATGCACCCGGCTCAGGGAGAGTGCGCATTACTGGAGGAAAAGTCTAGGATGTGGATGCCTCCTTCTGCTTGCTGGGAGATGTAGTTTCATAAAGACTACCAGAACTTGTGTCACAGGGCTGCAGGACTACCATCCCATTATGCACTGGGGTCAGGGACACGGCCCGTCAGTGGAGAAAGAGGCGGGGCTGTGTGCGTCTCCCTCGGCTTGCTGGGAGATGTATTCTTATAAACACTCCCAGCCCTTTGGTCAAAGGGCTACAGGACTACAATCCCAGCATGTGCCAGTCTCGGGGGCGAGGTACAGGCCTGGAAGAAGGGGCCGAGTGGTACACGCCCTACCTAATATGCTGGGAGCTGTAGTCTGTTAACTGCTCTCAGCCTGTTTGTCGGTAGGCTTCAGAACTATAATCACAGCATGTACCGGGACCCGGGGTGCATAGCCCTGGAGGGAGGGGCAGAGCGGTGTGGACTTCCCGGTGTCCAAAGCACTGCTGAGTTCTTATGCTATGCCGACTCTTTGCCAAGGAGAATGAGTACATAGGTGGACCTAGAGGACAGGTCTGCGCTGAGCATTGAGGAGGGTATTACCCTACATAGGCACCTTACCTTTGCCCAAATCGGGCGGGTTGTCCTCAACTGATTGGCCCTATCCTTCTCAAGTTCCTCTTTCAGCTGCACCCAGGGTTCTTCCCAGAGCATTGCGCCTTCTGCAGCCCAGGGCGCTGCCTTCTTTCCTAAACTGCTGTGGAAACTGTCCTGATGTCTGAGACACTGTCCATTGTGCCGCAGCCCTCTTTTTTCTCTAGCCAAGCCTCATGCTCAACAGCTTTTGAGAGAAATCTTCCACGTGGCCTGCTTATGAACAGCTTCAGAATTCTGTAGGGGGTGACAAGGTCTGTGGCTTCCTGGAAATGTCACTGTCAATGGCGCCTTTTTCACGAATGTGAAAGTTGAGGCATCAGGAAGGTTAATTATTGGGTTGCACAAAATCTGCTAAGAGCAAAGGAGAAAACCCCATTTCCGAGGCATGAGTCTTGTGAGCCATTTTCATCAACCCATTTAAGTGGACAAGCTCCAAAATGAAACCTGAAGCTGCTGACTATTTAGGCATTTTACACTTGAAATCATCGGTCTCATCTCAAGTCACTCCTGACTTGCCAGTGTCTCAGAAACACAAATGGGACCGGATCCCTCAGGAGCAGATAGTGTTCCAGCTTTGTTGGAGCGACATTTAAGATGTGGAGCACTTGGGGTCGTTTGAAACCCGCTATCTTCAGTAGGGACTTTTACTTCTAGAGAACATGTGCATTTTGATTTTATCTGTCCTCAAACTGAACTTTTGCTCATTTTAATAGTAAAAACACATTCCTAGGTGGAGACTTAAGATGCTAATGAGACATGCAATGTATGCACAAATATGTACAGTTAGTGCACATGTGCACCCAGAAGACCACTCAAAACATGCTTACACTAACACTTCTTTCCACCTTCTTATGAATAATCGTGCAAAACCCCCAGAAGGAGGGTTTCTCCAGTAACAATTAATGGTGTCTCACTCTTATGAGCAGCCTGCCCTGGAATCTCTTTCTCAGAATGTACCGTCTATTCTGCACTTAATTTTCAAAGTAGTCTTTTCTTTTTTTGTGTGCAATAAATTACTCTATGCTGTACTTCTTTTGCTGTGTGTTTCTTGTTTGAATTCTTTTAAACTAAGAAAATAAGAATCAAGGTATTACATCAGCCATCAACATTTCTTTTGCCATGGCCTGGAGAGAGGTCTGTCCGCTTCACTGATTTCACTTTCCCTTTACTTGCCGTGAATACTGTGGCACTTCCAGACTACCTGGTTAACTATCGCTGGTTCTTCCAGCACTGTTTCACTAAAGTTCTGGGGAAACCCTGTCCCTTTAGGCTTTATGCATTTCCCAGCTCCTTGAAATTGTTCTTCAACAGGCTTTCTTTGCTGAACAAAAGATGCACAGTCATGGATAGGCCCAGTCATAGGGATTGAATCTGAGCATTGCAGGTGTTATAATTGGGCATCATAAATGGCAAACCACTGAATTAGGGAAAGGCTTGTCAGCCAGACATCTGCCCCCCAGCGAGCAGTGGGGGTCATCTCGGCAGGGCTGGAGATGTCCAGCGCTGGTGAGAGCTAGGACGGTGCATGGCAAATGCCTATGACCTCCTAGAGCTTCAGTTAATGGGGTTTCAAGGGGATGAGTTGGACAACTTGGTGGTTCCACTTGGCTCATGGGGCTGCCCACAGCCTCCTGGACTTTAGTACATGTTCTGTCGTTTGCAGGATTCTCTCGGCACCATGGGAATCACTTCCTCTACTGTCACTGAAACACACCTGGGATGTATATTTAAAAATTGAAACAGCTTTTGGCTAAATGAAGCAAAAAAACAATTATCTTCTTTTGTAAAACTATTTAGCCTGCATACAGATTAGCTGACAAAACATGGCTGGAGAATGAGACTGTGAAATTTAACACCATCATACAGCTAGATCTTTTCTGTAGTAATCAGGGAAAATGGTCTGAAGTATCCTATGTGCAAGACTTTCTGGCCCGACAACAAAACCCAGCTCCATGCAGCACCTGTGGGCTAAAGCCTAGTAAGCCACAAAGCCCCTCAGATCCAGTAGAAGATCATTTGTTTTATGGACAAGTGACCCCAGACCCCACAGCCTAATACCAGCTCCAGATAGGGGCCCTCAGAGGCCTACACCTGCTTTAGAATCCCCAGCGTCCCCACACTATCAGAGTCTTCTGTAGAATCTAAGCTTGTTTCACCTCCTCCTTATGCTCCTCTATCAGCCTTTGCCAGTTACAATAGAGACCAGTCCAGCTGCAGTTACTCACAGTGGAGCTTCACACCATGCAGGGCCAGAGAATTTGATCCGCTTACAGAAAGTCTCAAATGGAGAGAGGACCATCAGAGTGCTTCTTCTCTTCCCAGTAAATGATCTAATCCAATGTAAGCAACAGCTCTGATGGCTCTCAGACAACTTCAGCGCGTTTACTGAAGCCTTCCAGTCTCTAACTTTGACCACCATTCAACTTTACCATCCATAAATGGACCCAATGACTGCTGCCAACTCAGCTGCACAAAACTTTTTCTTATTTGCGAAAAATAGAAAAGACTTAAAACTTTTGCTGCTTTCACCATTTTAAAGCAGAATACTTTTGCAGCACAAATGTCACCATAAGGTGGAGCCTTGGGAATCCAGTATAAACTATCTCAGAAAATCTCAGTGTGTCCCCAACAGGCAGCAGAGGGCCTCAATAGACTTCAACAACATCTGGACTCCATGGCCACTGCATTCCAACAAAATCAAAGAGCCTGGGATCTTCTCCCAGCCAAGCAAAGAGGAACATGTTTATATCTAAAAGAAGAATGCTGTTTTTTGAGATCAATCATTCTGGTTTATTCCAAGAAAATATTAATAATATCATCACCCAGGCAGACAAAATTGAATCTCTAGGAACTTCCATGGGAACATGAAAGCAATGTCCATTGCCTGCCTTGCTCTCTTTAATAGTACCCGTCATTATTATATTTTCAACTTCTACTTTTGTTCCAATTTTGTTTAAAATGTTAACTGATTTCCTGCTATGTTGCTTGTGGCAGCTCCATGTTTGCATGATGGTTTGCAAGGCTTTCAATCTTTGGCTGCCAACATCTTCCCACTGGTTCCACGAATGACATGGTTTACACCCTGTTAGATCACACAGGAAGAAACTTTAAGGCCCAGGCTAGGCAGAAGTAACACCCACTCAGCAGGAAACAGCTCCAGAAAAAGTGGTCTAACCCCTCAACCTCCAATATGGTTATTGCCCTAAAATCTCTTAGGGGGAAATTGAGGCAGAATAGATAGTACAGAAAATGACCATGATCTCAGGATACAGAAACCATGGTGACTGTACAGCCAACACAATAAGCCGTAGCATTCGCATTGTAATTGGGCTTATTCGAGCAAAGCTATCCTCATTAAGGACTTTCTGTTCTAGAGAGCATGTGTATTTTGATTTCACCTGCCCTCAAACTTAAATTTTGCTTATTTTAATAGCAAACAATGCACCCCCTAGCCAGGCACGGTGGCTTATACCTCTACTCTCAGCACTTTGGGAGGCTGAGGAAGATGGATCACTTCAAACTAGAAGCTCGAGACTAAACTGGCCAACATAGAGAAACCCCGTCTAAATTAAAAATACAAAAATTAGCAGGGTATGATGGTGCATGCCTGTAATCCCAGATACTCAGGAGGCAGAGGCACGAGCATGGCTTGAACTCAGGAGGCAGAGGTTGCAGTGAGCAGAGATCACACCACTGCACCCCAGCTTGGGCAACACGGCGAGACTCTGTCTCAAACAAACAAACAAACAAACACACAGAAATACACTCCTGGGTGGAAATATAAGATGCTAACGAGACATGCAACATATGAACAAGCATGTACAGCTACTGCGCATATGCACCCAGAATACCACAGAGAACATGTTTACTAGCAACTCCTCTTCCCTCCTCCTTATTAATAATAATGTAAAACTGCCATAAAGGGGTTTCTCCAGCGACAGTCCACGCTGTCTCACTCTTATGAGCAGTCAGCCCTGGAGTATCTCTCTCAGGGTGTACTGTATTCTGCACTTAACTTTCAAATATTTTCTTTTCCAATAAATTATGCTGTACTTTTTTTCTTTGTGTCTCTTGTTTAAATTCTTAAAATCTAGGAAGACAAGAACAGAGGTATCACATCAGTTGTCAACACAGCAATAAGTCAGCCTCCTTCTTGTAAGCATAGCCCATGCAGAAAAGGAGAGTCGCATCACCTCGGTGCTGGATCCAGAGGTATGTCACAATTTATCCCATGCACAAAGTTAAGGTCATTGAGGAGAGTCGTATTAAATAATTTCTGGGCCCAGGGATTTGTCACAACAGCTCCTGTGAGAAGAGATCAGGCAGCATAATCACATAACCGGTGTGCTGGACACAGCGATAAGCCACCTTTCATCTGTGGGCATGACCCAGGCAAGAAAGAAGAGTCACGGCATTTAGGTGCTTGCTGCAGAGGTACGTAACAATCTCTCTTATGGGCAAAGCTCAGGTAAGAGAGAAGAGTCAAATATCCAAGGTGATTCATGTAGAAATTTGTCACAAGAGACTTTTTAGGCAGGGCCCATGTTGGATCTTCTTATCTTCCAGAAGTTAGGTACAGGGATATGTCAGAATACCCAAAATACACAGGGCTCAGTCAATAAAGAAGAGCCACATCACCCAGGTGCTGGGTCTAGACATATGTCACATCTCTTTTATGGGGAAAGCTCAGGTAAAAAAGGAAGGTCATATCAAATAGTTGATAGACCCAGAGATATGTCACATTGCCTCCTGCTTGAAGTGTCTAGGCCAAAGACTCACATCACATTGGTGCTAGGCCTGTGTTCATATATAAACATTCAACCAGAGTTAAAATGGTGGCCCACATCTAAACTCAGCTCATAGGCAAGGGATGAGTCTCCTATCCTGACATAGTTAATTGTAATGATGTTGACTCTCATCCCTGGGCCTAATGCTACAAGTATGATCATGGGTCCCTACCATTAGGAAGGTCTCAAAGTTGATTACGACTCTCATGCATACTGTATAGGGCCATTGGGTAGTACACAGAGCGTGCTAACTGGGCCGAGCACACAGGTGAGATTGTCACACTCATATGCACACCCAGCCAACAGTAACTATTGTCATCCTCTCACGGGAACACAGGTCAGTCTGCAGAGGAATTGAGGCTGTCATGCGCAAATCCAGTCTGGTGTTGAGATGGTTACTCTTGGGCTTAGACCCAACATACAGGAGGTGTTGAATGTCATGCCTACCACTGAGACAGCTGTGGGATTGTTAATCTAATTCCTGGACCATTCTGCAGCTTCCATTGTGAAATTTCCCAGTGCCTAGCACCTAAGTGACTTGACGGGCTCGCATGGACCCAGCCCACAGATGGGATATTAACATATTGCTGGATCCAGCACATTGAGGATGTAACTCTATTCTCCTTCCTTGGCACTGCCCACAGTGAGCAGTTTGACATATCGCTAGACCTTACACCCAGGTGATGTGAGTCTCCTCTTCTGCCTTGGCGCTGCCCTCAGGAAGCGTTGTTATATATAGCTTGGCCTCGCATCCAGGTTATGTGACTCTCCGGCTTGTGCACTGCCCATATGGGACACTGTGTTAATATTGCTGGGTCCACTACTCAGGCTATGTAACCCAACAGCCTGGGCCCTGCCTTACAGGGGCATTGTGACATATCTCTGTGCTCATCAGCCAGGTGATGTGATTCTCTTCTCCTGCCTGGTCCCTTTACACAGAAGGGATTGTGACACGTTGCTGGGCTTAGCACCAAGTTGATGTTGATGTGAATCTTCTGCCTGGATCGAGTTCACAGAAGGCATCGTGACATACTTCTGGGTGCATCACCTATTTGATGCAACTCTCCTCTCTTACCAGAGCATTGCCCATAAGAGAGATTGTGACATATCCCTGGGTCTAGCACTGGGATGATGTGAATTCTCCCTGCCTGGGGCATGCCCACAGAAGGAAGTGTGACTTATAACTGGGCACAGCACAGGGGTGATGTGATTCTTCTGCCTGGTCCCTACCTACAGGAGTCATTGTCAAATGTCTCTGGGCCCATCATCTAGACTATGTGACTCTCTACTTCTTCCTAGGGCCTGCTCACATAAGGATTGTGACATATTACATGCCCTTCATCATGTGACTTTTCTCTCATGTCTGGGCTCTGTCTTGGAGATGAATGTGACACATAGCTAGGCCTAGCCCCTAGGTTCTGTAACTTCTCGTTTTTCAAAATCCTACCCACCAGGGGCATTGAAACATCTCTCTGGGCACTTCACTTAGGTAATGTTGCCCTGTTGCCTGGAGCCTCCCCTCTGGGGGGTATGGTGACATATTGCTGGACACAGTACCTATGTGATATTCTCTCCTTTCTTGCCTGGGCCTTGTATACATTATGTATTCTAATATATGGCTGGGTTCAATGACTAGGTGATGCAACTCTTATGCATAGACCCTACCCACAGGGACATTATGACATTTCTTTAGCTCTGACTCTCCTCTTTTTCCTTAGCCCTGCCAAAAAGGGAGGTGGTGACATATAACTGGACCTAGCAACCAGCTAATATGAGTCTCCTCTTTTGCCTGCACCCAGCATATTTTAGGTGTTGTATCATATCCTTTGTCTCAACACCTGCAGGATGAAAGGCTCCTGCCTGAGCCCAGCCATCTGTCAAAATTGTCATTCTCCCACACGAACATGGACCATAATTGAGGTTCTGAAACTCACACCCAGAGGCAGTCAAAAGTTGGAAAATTGGCTCTTAAAAGTGGATGTTGTCCTTAAGTGGGTTTGTGACTCCCTGACCAAGATCCAAAACACTTGTGAGGCTGTGAATCCACTAAGATAACTCCGTTTTCAAAAGGGATTAAGGCTCTCATGGAAAAAACCCATTCCTCCATTGAGATTGTGACTTATGCACATAGATGCAACATACAGGAGGCGTTCACTCTCATACCCAGAACCGGAACTTATGTGGGATTGTTAATCTCATCCATGGACCTTCCTGCAGGTGTGATTCTGACGTACACCTCTAGCCAGCTCCTGAGTGATTTGACATTTTTGCCTGGGTGTAGCCCACAGATGAGATTGTGATATATCCTTGAATCCAGCATCTAATTAATATGCTTCTATTCTCCTGTCTTGGCACTGCCCATAATGGGTATCCTGACCTAACACTGGTCCTGGCACTTTGTTATGTGACTCTGTCCTGTGCTTTGCCCACATGAGCCATTGTGACATATTGCTGGGTCCAACACCCAGGTGATGTAACTCTTGTCTAGACTTTGCCTACAGGGGGCATTGTGACATATCTCTACACTGACCACCCAGGTGATGGCACTCACTTCTCCTGACTGCTACCTGTTTATAGCAGGGATTGTTACAAATCGTTGCGGGCAGACTCTAGGTAATGTGACTGTCTTTTTACAGAGTGCTACCCACAGGAGCCATTGCAAAATATCTGTGGGCCTCTCACCTAAATGTAGTGACTCTTTGCCTGGGCTCATTTCTCAGGGGTATTGTGACATATGGCTGACCTCAGCACCGAGGTGAACTGAGTTTCTTCTACTGTAGGGCTCTGACCAAAGAGAGATTACAATGTATCACCGGGCCCAGCACCTGAGCTATTTGACTGTCCGCTCTTGGCTGCGCCCTACATTTATTGTGTATTGTGACATATCACTGGGTCCAACACGTAGGTAAGGTGACTCACCTGCATGGGCCATTTCCCCATGGGTACTATGAAGTATTTTTTGTTCATCACTTAGGTGATGCAACTCTCCTCTTTGCCTTGGGCCCCACATAATTTAGCTATTGTGATGTATCACTGTGCGAATCACCTAGTCAATAGGAAGCTTCTACCAAGACCCTGACTACTGAGGGCCTTGTGACATAGCTCTGCATTTATCACCTAGAAAATATGATCCCCCCCCATTTCTGCCTGAACCCTGCTCACAAGAAAAATTGTAGCATATTTCTGGGCCCAGCAAACAGGTGATGTGTTTCACCTGCCTGTGCTTAGTTCACAGGGAAAATTGTGACATATCACTGGGCCCAGAACCCAGGTGAGGTGACTCTGCTGCATGTGTCGTGCTTTCAGGAGGGAACAAGAACATATCCCTGGCAGAACTCTTAGGGATGTGACTCTCTTGCCTTGTCCCTGTCCTCAGGGAAGACTGCAACATGTCCCTGACACAGACCCAGGTGATGAGACTGTCCTGCTTCTGACTACCCAAATGTGAGATTGTCACATATATTTTGGCTTAGCATGTAGGTGTGACGATGACATTCATACCTTAAACCAACCAATAGCAGAGATACTTTCTCTCACAGCCAGGCTTAACAAAACTTGCAAAATTATGGGTCTTCTCTTACTATGAAGGTCAGAGAAAGTAAGCACTCTTGCATATCCTGTAAAGCACTCAGATGGTACAGTGTCATCACAGGGCCCAGAACACAGGTGAGATTGTGTTCTCTGTGTGCACACCCACCAATCATCAGAATTCTCATTCCTACACAGGAACAGAGGTGATTAGGGAGGTCTAAACCTCATACCTGAATGCCGTCCACAGTTGGAATTGTAACTATCATTTGTGAACATCCAGTCACAGTGGGGATAGTGACTTATTTCTGAACCCAGTTTACAGCCAAGTAAAGATCCTCTTATCTGGATCCAGCCAGCTGGAGAGATGTTGACTCTCATACCTGGACTTATGGCCACAGGTATGATCATAGGTTCATATCAGCATGAAGACCTCAGAGTGGATTATGTTTAATGCATACTCTACAAGGCCCACAGGAGGTACATAGTGTCCTAACAGGGCCCAGCAAACAGGTGAGATTCTAACACTCATGCACACTCTGGTGACAATAAAAGTTGCCATCCTCAAAAATGGGCACAACCGGCGTGGCTCAGTGGCTCACACCTGTAATCGCAGCACTTTGGGAAGCCGAGGCGGACAGATCATGAGATCAGGAGATCAAGACCATCCTGGCCAACATGGTGAAACCACGTCTCTCTACTATTTATGATTATGATTATGATTATGATTATGATTATGATTATGATTATTATTTTGAGACAGAGTCTTGCTCTGTCACCCAGACTGGAGTGCAGTGGCACCATCTAGGCTTACTGCAACATCCGCCTCCCGGGTTCAAACAATTCTCTTGTTTCAGCTTCCCGAGTAGCAGGGAGTACAGGCTCATGCCACCATTCCCAGCTAATTTTTGTGTTTTTAGTGGAGACGGGGTTTCACCATATTGATTAGGCTGGTCTCAAACTCCTGACCTCAGGTGATCCACCCAACTCGACCTCCCAAAGTGCTGGGATTACAGGCATGGGACACTGTGCCTGTCCACCCCATCTCTACTAAAAATACAAAAATTAGCTGAGCGTCATGGCACATACCTGCAATCCCAGCTACTCGGGAAGCTGAGGCAAGAGAGTTGCTTGAACCCAGGAGGCAGAGGTTTCAGAGAGCCGAGATCGCCCCACTGCACTCCAGCCTGGCGATAGAGTGAGACTCCGTCTCAAGGGACCGAAAGAAGAAAGAAAGAAAGAAAGAAAGAAAGAAAGAAAGAAAGAAAGAAAGAAAGAAAGAAAGAAAGAGAGAGAGAGAGAAAGAAAGAAAGAAAGGAAGGAAGGAAGGAAGGAAGGAAGGAAGGAAGGAAAAGAAAGAAAGAAAGAAAGAGAAAGAAAGAAAGGAAAAGAAAGAATGAAAGAAGAAAGAAAGAGAAAGAAGGAAGGAAGGAAGAAAGAAAGAAAAAGAAAGAAAGAAAGAAGAAAGAAAGAAAAAAGAAAGAAAGAAAGAAAGAAAGAAAGAAAGAAAGAAAGAAAGAAAGAAAGAAAGAAAGAGAAAATTGACTCTCATATATGGATCTTGTCCACAGGTAGGTGGGTGACTCTCAAACCAAAATTCATTACATCTGTGAGACTGTAACTCTCCTAAGGGGAGAAGTTCTTCTCAGCCAGAGAAGACTCATTTATGAATCCAGTTCACTGTTGAGATTGGGACTGTTGTACCTAGGCCAAACATACAAATTCTCATACCTGGAATCCGGACATGTGTGGAGTTGTTCATCTCATCCCTGTCGCTTTCTGCAGGTGGGATTGTGACATACATCTCTGCCCAGCTCCTGAGTGTTTTAGCTCTGTTTCCTGTGTCCAGCTCACAGATGGGATTCTGATATATCACTGAAGCCAGCACCTAAATGATGTGACTCTTATCTCCTGCCTTGGTGCTGCCCACAGGGGACATTGGGACATATCACTTGGCCTTGCACCTAGGTAATGTATGTTTTCTGCCTTGCATTAGTGCTACTCACAGGGGTGTTGTGATGTATTGCTGGGTCCCACATCCATGTTATGTGACTCTTCTGCCTGTGCCCAGTCCACAATGGCCATTTTGACATATTGTTGCATCCAAAACCTAGATGATTTACCTCTCCTTCCTGAGCTTTGCCTAAGGGGACATTGTGAAATATCTATGAGCCCATCACCCATGTGGCGTGATTTTCTTCTCCTGCCTAGTCCCTGCTTAAAGAAAGGATTGTGACATATCACTGTGCCCAGCACCTATCTCATGTTACTCTTCTTTTGTTTTTTAGGATTTGTTTGGAAGGAGATTGTGATACATTGGTGGGTCCAACTTCTCAGTGACATTACTCTGTTGACTGTGCTCTGCAAGCAGAAAGCACTGTGACACATTATTGGGCCCAACACCAAGGTGAGTCTCCTGCCTGAAGCCTGCCTACAGCAATTTGTAACATATGGCATTGGGACATATCTCTGAGCCCATCAACTATTTGACAAGATTCTCCTTTTTTAACAAAGGCTTTGCCCATAGGAGAGATTGTGACATAATTCTGAGCCCTGAAAATAGGGGATATTTCTTTTGTTTTCTGCTTGAGCCCCACATTGTGATGTATTTCTCCTCCCAACAACTGAGGGAAGGGAAAGTCCTGCCTGGGTCTTGCCTATGGGGAGCCTTGTGAAATCTTTCCGTGTTCATCACCTTAAATATGTGACCCTCATCTTCTGCCATGGCCATGTTTACAGAAGGGAGAGTGGGTTATTCCTAGACCCAGCACACAGGTCATGTGATTCTGCATCCTGGTGTCTCCAGAGGGGTCATTTTGACATATCTCTAGACTCATCAACTAGATAATGTAATGCTCCTCTTCCCCCTGAAACCTATCCATAGTGGAGATTGTGAAATACAGCCTGGCACAGCACCTACATGATGGTACTCTCTTCTCATGCTTGGGTGCTGGCCACAGGGGTGATTAAGACTTATAGCTGGGTACAGTCTTCAGGTGATGTAACTCTCCTCTATTTTTGGGCCCACACACACAGGGAACTACCATATAGCTCTGCTCCTCAGTCTTAGGTGATGTGACTCTGCTGTCTGTTACCTCCTCTTAGGGGGAATTGTGATATATTGCTGGGCCCAGAACCGAGGTGATGTGGCCTTTTCTCTTGCCTGGGCCCTGCATACATGGTGTACAGTAACATATATCTGGGTTGAACACATAGGTGATGTGACTCTTCTGCATAGGTCTTGCCAACAGGGGTATTATGACATACTCTTCTATTCATTGCCTAGGCGATGTGACTCTCCACTCTTACCTGGGCCCTTCCAAAAGAGGGGATTGTGACATATCACTGACCCTAACACCAAGGTAATGTGACTGTTCTCTTTTGCCTGGGTTTGCATATTTTGGGTATTGTGACATATCCCTGGGCCCAACACTTAGGGAATAAGAGGTTTATTCCTCTACCTTACGTGCAGTGAAGCTTGTGACATATTTCTGCATTCATCACCAAGAAGATGTGACTCTTCTGCCTGCATCCTGACCACAGAGAGGATTGTGAAATATTGCTAGATCCAGCATGCAGGTGATGTGTCTCTGCTGCCTCGTTCCTAATGTGAGGAGTGGATTGCAACATACCAATGCCTGAACATTCAGGTAATGTGACTGTTGACTGGTCCCTGTCCTCAGGGAAGCGACATATCACTGACCCAGCATCCAACTGATTTTACTCTCCTGCTCTCTTCCTATATGCAGGTGTAATTGTTACATATATCTTGGAACACAACACACAGGTGCAATGATGACATTCATATGTCAAACCAGCCAATAGAAGAGATACTGCTTCTCCTAGCTACACTTAGGGAAATGAAAAAAAACCCTGGGTCTCCTCGCTAAGATCATCCACTCTCTCATATATTACAGAAAGTCCTCAGGTGGTAGAGAGTCTTATCACAGGGCCCAGCACACAGGTGAAATTTGTTACTCCTATGCGCACCCTGAACCCTCCTGACCATTATGATTTTCACCCTCACATATAAACAGAACCCACTGGTGAGGTCCTGAATTTCACACATGAATGCAGTTTATAGTTGGAATTGCGAATCTCATATGTAAAGATCTGGCCAGAGTTGGAATGGGAACTTCGTTATAAACCCAGCGCATAGAAAGCTGATGACTCTCTTATCTGGACCCCGCCAATTGTAAAGATGTTGACTCATATATAGGCTTAGGGCCACAGGTTTGATCATGGGTCCATACCAGCATGAAAATCTCTGAAAGAATTGAGACTGTCATGCATACAACATAAAGCCGTCAGGTGCAACACAGAAAGTCCTAATAGGGCTCAGCACACAGTAATATAATGACATTGGGATGCACACCCAGCCAACATTAAAGATTGTCGTTCTTTCACATGATCATAGTTCACTTTTGAGGCTCTGAATCCCATACCCAAAGGCAGATTGAAAAGTTGAAAAATTGACTCTCATATTTGAGAGTCACAGATGTGTTGATGACTCTCAGATCATGAGTCAGCACACCTAGGAAGCTGTGATTTCAATTAGGGGACAAAGTACGCAAGAGAAAATGGGGCTGCCATGCACAAATTTAGTCCACTATTGAGATAGTGACTTGTGTACTTAGATCAAACATACAGAAGGTGTTCACTCTCATGCATAAAACCAGAATATGTGCGGGATTCATCCCATATCTGGACTTTCCTGCAGGTGTCATTGTGACAAGCATACACATTTGTCCAGCACCTGAGTGATTAGACTCTTCTGTTTAAGCCCAGCTCACAAATAAAATTGGGACATATCATTGGACCTAGAACATAGGTGATGTGGCTCTATTCTCTTGACTTCGTGCTGCCCACAGGGAGCATTGTAACGTATCACTGAACTTAACACCTAGGAGATTAGAGGCTCCTGCCTGAACTCTGTCCACAGTGAGCCTTGTAGCATATTTCTGCTTCCAACACCAGATGATGTGACTCTCCTTTCTGCCTGCACCTTGCCCACAGGAAAGATTCTGACATATCACTGGGCCCAGTAATCAGTAATCAGGTGATGTTTCTCTCCTGCTATGGCCTTGCCCACAGGGAGTGTGGTGACATATCACTGAGCTCAATATTCAGGTGATTTGACTCTGCTGCTTGTACTCTGATTTCAGGAGGGGATTGTAACATATCCCCTGTGAGCACACAAGTGATGGGACTCCCCTCCTAGCCTCTGACCTCAGAAAACATTGTTACATATCCCTGGCCCAGCCTTAGGTATGTGACTCTCCTACCTGTTCCCTGCCATCAGGGAAGATATTGACAGATCTCAGGCCAAGCATCCCGGTGACGTGACTCTCCTGCTCACTCCCTTCCCACAGAAGAGATTGAAACATATATCTTGGCCAGCTCACAGGTGTAATAATGACTCTCATACCTCAAACCTGCCACTAAGAGAAATACTGTTTTTCATAGGGAGGCTTTGGAAAACCGGTAGGTCTTAACTCTTCGTTTTGTATGAAGGTCTTAGAGGAATACAACTCTCTCATATTATATAAAGCTCTTAAATGGTACAAAGAGTGTTATCACAGGGATATGTTGCATAACCTATGGGAGGGGCCCAGTTATATGTCACAATTAACCCAGGGGGCAGGGCACAGGCATGAAAAGAGAGTCACACCACATATGTGCTGGCCTAAGTGATACATCATCATCCCCACTGTGGACAGGTCGCAGTAAGAACAGGAGAGTCACATCATTCTAATAATGGTCTCAGAGATACATCACAATGACTCCCCTGGGCAGAAACAAGGGATAAGGTTCACATCACCTGTGGGCTAGGCCCAGAGATGTCACTCTTACTTCTGTGGGCATGTCTCAGGCTGGAGAGGAGAATCACATTACCTAAGCACTGGACCAAGAAATACTTCACAATCTTTCTCATGGCGAAAGCCCAGGTAAGAGAATAGAGCCATATCAAATAGTTCATGGGCTCAGAGATATGTCACAATGCTCCCTGTGGGCAGGGTTCAGGTAGGACAATCACATTACCTTGGTGCTTGTTCAGCAATATATCCCAAAGCCTTCTGAGGGCAGAGCCAAGATAAAAGAGTAAAATCATTTTGGTGTTTTACAAATCGATATGTCACAATCTCCCCCGAGGGCAGAACCTGAAAAAAGGGAAGAGTCACATTAGCTAAATGCTGCGCCGGGTGATAAGTCACAATTCACCCTGTAGGCAGAGACTAGACAGAAGATAGAGTCACATCATCTAGTGGCTGGTGCAGAGATATGCCACCATGCCCTCTCTAGGCAGAGTTCAGACAGGAGAGTTATGTCACCTGTGTTTTGGACCCAGAAATATGTCACAAAAGCCCATGGACAGAGCACAGGAAAGACAGGCACATAACCTGAATATCAGCTTCAGTGGTATGACCCAATGCCTCCTGTGAGCGTTCCAAGGCAGGAGAGGAGACTCACATTACCTGTGTGCAAGGCCCAGTGATACGTCACACGGAGGAGTACCACTGTCTTGCATATTGTGTAAACTATGGTAGAGAAATTGTCACCACAGGGCTCGCCACACTGGTGAGATTATACTTCTCAGATGCACACCACACCAATATTCAGGATGGTCTCTATCACACGTGGAGAGAGCCCACTCTTGAGGTCCTGAATTACACATGCAGACACAGTCCACAACTGGGATTGTGACTTTCATATGTGAACATCCAGCCACAGGTGGGATGGTGACTCATTTTTAAACGCAGCTCATAGGCAGTTAAGAACTCTTATTTGGACCCATCCAAGTAGAAAGATGTTGACTGTCATACCAGGGCTTAAAGCTAAAGGTACAAGGAGGGGTCCGTGCCTGCTTAAGGTTTCAGAGAGAATTGTTACACTCATGCATACTCTATAAAGGCTGCATATGGTGAAGAGAGTGTCCTGACAGGGCCCAGAACAAAAGTAGATTGTGACACTCATATCTACGCTGAGCCAAGAGTAAAAATTGTCATCTTTTCACATGAACACAGCCCATTGTTGAGGTTCCAAATCTCACACCTGGAGGCGGTTGAGAGATGAATAATTGACTCTCATAAGTGGATGCGATCCATGTTTGAGTCAGTGACTCTAAAACCAACATTCAGCAAACACGTGAGGCTGTGACTCCATTAAGGGGCCACGGTCCTCGGGAAAGACTGAAGCTGCCATGCACAGATCCAGTGCACCATTGAGACTGTGACTTCTACACTTAGACCCAACAAACACAATGTGTTTGCTCTCACACCTAGATATGGGACATGTGCAGGATTGTCAGTCTCAGCCCTGGACTTTCCTGGAGGTATAACTGTGAAATATATCTCGGCCCAGCTCGTGAGTGACTTGACTCTTCTGCGTAGCCCAGCCCATGATAAAATTGTGACATTATTGAACCCAGCACCTATGACCCCCCTCTTCTGCCTGGGTCCTGTCAAAAAGAGAGATTGTAACAAATCACTGGGACAAGCACCCACATGATGTGACTCTCCTCTTTTCCCTGGGCCCTGCATATTTTGTATATTGTGACATACTGCTGGGCATAATACCTAGGGAATTGATGGCTACTGCCTGAGCCCTGTTCACAGGGGGCCTTGGGACATCTCTCTGCATTCACCACCTAAAAAAAGTGTGTGCACCCTGCCTACAAAGAAGATTGTAGCAGATCACTTGTCTTAGCAACCAAGTGATGCGAGTCTCCTGTCCTGCCTTGGTGCTGCTCACAGGGGACATTATAACATATACTTGGTGCTGCACCCATGTTTTGTAATTTTTCTGCCAGGGGTCTACCATATAAGCTATATTGCTGGGTCCAACACCCAGGTTATGCAGCTCTCCTTTCTGTGCTCTGCCTACAGGGGACATTGTGACTTATCTCTGCACCCATCACTCAGGTGATGTGACTTGCTTCTGCTGACTGATTCCTGTTCAAGTGGAGATTGTGACATATCAATGGTGGCACCATCTAGCTGATGTAACTATTCTCTTCTGCCTAGGTTCTTCCTGCAGTGGAAATTGTGATGTATCACTGGGCTTAACACCAAAGTGACATTAATTTTTTGCCTTGGTTCTTCCCTCAGAAGACATTGTAATATATTGCTGGGCTCAGCACCAAAACGATGTGGATTTCCTGTCTGGACCCTGCATACAGGAGTCCCTGTGACATATCTCTTGACTCATCAACTATTTGATGTGACTCTCCTCTGTTCCCTGAGCTTTGCCTATAGGAAAGCGTCAGCCTGGACTCCAGAGTCAGCCACCCACCCCTGCACAGACAAGGAGAGGTCTCATTAAGCTTCAGCACAGTCTGGGACCATAGCTTTTTTTGTAACGATTTGTTCGGCATGAGGCCCACTCACAAGGGCCCTTCGTGACTGGACTCAAGGAAAACGAAAAGGCCTACTTGTTTTTGCGATTTTCTGTTGTTTTTCAATAACTATTTCTCAGAAACAGTGCTGGATGAATTCCACAAGGGGTTCACACAACCTGTTCCAGGACTTAGTGACCATTGTTTCTGTCCATGTTCATTGAGTTCAAATTTAATATTTAACTTTTCCTCCTCATTCAGCCTCAATTTGACACTGAATCATAGGAAAATATTTTTACAGTTATACGGGGAAGTCACAACTGGTATAGATTACAGATAGAGCAGAGGAGAATTAAAAGCACAATTAATAGAAACCACACCCACCACGGCCAACGCCAATGCTAGTTTGACAGCCAGTCCATGATGGGGTCCTGATGGTTAGATTCTAACTGTTTTACTTGTCCTTGCATGTCTTCGGCAAGGAGAGTAATACTGCGAGAACTGTCAGGGATACACACAACATTCAGAATGCAGCAAGACTCAAACCCCTCCTTGGGCTGCGGTAAACATACCTAATGCCATTCGATTTTGCAACACAACAGTACACAGCTGAACAAGTTCTTCTGATAACAACAGAAGTCCAGTGCTACTATCTTAGGAGCTTTTACTATATGTGGACTTAATATTTTAATTTGTTGCTGAAGCAGGATTGTACGAGGGGCAAGGGAGAATACTGTGATAGTTTTCCACCACCAGGGAGTCTGGCACGTTCATAACCAGCTACCTTTGTAAGCATCTAGATTATTGGGGAAGGGAATATTATCCCGGATGGTGAATGGAATTAATGGCACCCCCAAGTGAATCTCCCCATCCAATAAGGGGGCAGATAGGCCACCCATAGGGTCTGCATACCCAGAGGGCCCCCCAGGGGACAGCAATGGTTATACTACAATTATAGTGTATTAAGATGTTATTAAAGTAGCAAAGGAAGTCCAGGTTGGATTGCAAGTGTTGTTGTTTTGGCCCCATTTGTAGTGACAGAGCCATTCAGAAATATTGGCAAGGACAACTCTGCAAGGCAGTCCATTTCCTGTGGCCTCTGGCAATTTGATGCATAGCCAGCATTGACTGCGGTTAGCTTCTGTCGCAGTGGTTGCTGCCCAGTTGATGAATTCACTCTCCACCTCAGACCTGATGACCCAGGTACTGATTACTAGTAGACAGGTTATTCTCTGTAACAACAAAACTGAAGGGGAACATAATATTGTTTTTCATTTTTAGGAAACTGTACTACCCTTTTATTTTCTGCTCCCATACCTACAAGGTCACAGCCTTAGGGGCGGGATCTGATGGAGGCTGTATCCATATTTTCGTTCCAGGATTTAAGCTACCTATACCAGTGGATCTTAATTTCCCAGTTCTGTACGTAGCCTCTGTTGGGGCAGAGATTTCCTCAGGGGTTAATTGTTAACAAGGTACCAGGTACCACTGACAATTGAGCAACCCGAATCTGCGGTCTTGTAACAAAAGAATGTGGAGTGGTATTGTGTAAAGTGAACTTTAACTGTTCCTGGTAATCATTATCAATTATACCACCATACATTATAATGTGTCTCATCGCCAGGCTTGAATGTGTTGTAATCCATTCACCCACATTCAAGTTTGCATTTATGCTGGAAATTTTGGCCTGTTGATCTACCTGCTGTTTAGTCTGTCAAGAGAATGCAGAGATGCATGAGAATCAATATGAAAAACAGCAATAATAGTAATGTGCATCAGGATTCAGGTATCTTCCTAGTATTGTTTTCTCCAAACCTCTTTATTCATTATTCACTATTTGTTTCATTGCCATTCGGGCAACTAGGTAGTAAGACCATTTTCTGCTGACCAACAGTCGGTATACAAGCAACAAATTGCTCTGGCCTCCTCCTGAATAGTTCGGAGGATGGCTTCTAGTTCAGCCAGCTGGCTGCTCACACCCCTCCCTTCATCAGAAACGCTTATGTTTTTAACAGGATTATAAGCCACGGCCTCCCAGCATCAGGTCCCATCAATGTATTTGGTGGAACTATCAGTAACCAAGCGTGTTTCTGATCCTCTGGGCTTAGTTCTTTAAAGGATTTGCCCCATTGGGCAGGGGAGGTTTCCTTCCCTATATGCAGGACTTGCCCTGTGGTTTCCTGAGTTGGCAAGTTTTGCACATCTTCAAGTAAAAATGATACCGCTTTTAGTTCTGGCTTATCCTGGTCTTGTATGTACCATTTCCATTTTATGATACTACATTCTTGAGTGTACCCTATCCAATGGGTTTTGAGGGAGCTCATGACCCAAGTCATAATAGGAATTTGGGGCCTCATAAAAACATCATGATTAAAACAAAGGTGTTCTGCTTCCTTCAAGCGCAGTAGAAGGCCAACAGCTGCTTCTCAAAGAGTATAAGCTTTGCCAGCCTCTGGCAGCTTCTGGGTCTAAAACTCCAAAGGTATCTTCTTCCCATCTTGTTTCTACCTAAGGCTCCAATTAGCATGTTGATGTAGGACAGTTACTTGCAGTTCTGTTGACTCATCCTATAAGGGCCATAGATC